>NC_000009.12:30767575-30919090 GCF_000001405.40 Homo sapiens
TAAAATTAAACATTATGATTTATGTGATTTATTAAGTGTAAAAAAAGGGTAATTAGTTTTTAGTGCCAGAGGCATGTCTAAATTATTTGAGTGGAATGCAGCTGGTTTTTTGATAAGCTCATCATAACTGTGGGTCAATGGGAAATAATTGATACTTTTCCTTTCCCCTAGTACCTGGATTTTTTTAAAATTATTGTTTTCATTGAATTCAACTGTAGGTGGAAGTCATTGAAGCTTATAATTCATCATTTTTGAGGGTCTGTGTCAAAACAGTGAAAATACAACCTGGCTGACATGTTCGAACCTACAGACAATTTAAATTATAATGTAAAATTGAAAAACAATAAAATTAGGAAAATAGTATTAACAATTAACTTATTCTTGTACCATGCTATATTTTTGGACTCACATTTTTTTACATGACAGGAACTACTACTAGGATTTCTCCTGGAGATGAAGCTTGACAGCCTGCTCTTAGCTGGGGTTTCTCTTTTCCAGAATATGGGTCTAAATACCTTTTGTCTTTTCCATGTGTCTCCTTCAGGGCCTGGAATGGCGATTATCCAAAGGGGACTGTTTTGGTGGTAATGGCAAAGGTGCACATGCACAAGCACACACAAACACATACATACACAAACACACCAGAATTACGTGTGTCCTCTTATGGCCTTGCTGTATAACTAGTTCATTGTCATTTTTACACAGATGCCTTTGTCCAAAGCCAATAACTTAGCTAAATCCACGATCTAGGAATGAGGATGCACTCTGTGCACCTGACAAAGCAAAAACAGGGGTGTGGAGTGTTGCTATTGGAAAAGATGAGCAATTGCAGACAGTTTTACAGTCTACCATATTTATCTGTTGTGCAAACAATATGATTTACATTTTACCATGTCACTTTTTCAGAATAACTAAAAAGTACTGTATACAATTCAAAAGCTTTGATCACAATTTATCTATCAATTCTACTTAGTTAATTCTAGTTCACAAAATTAATTTACAAACTTTAAAAATAGATTTAATTTTATTTATTATTGGTTTATTATACGAACATTTATATAACATAGACAATAATTATACAGACAAGTATCACCAAGGCACAGCTTATGCTATCAATTAATTGATAAACTAAGCATAGATATGTAATGAAGTGGTAGTATTTCCAACCAAACATTCTGGTCAGTCCTAATAGTTGAAAAAGTATTATGGAAATTTTGAAGAGATTATAATTCAGATTTGAGAGCAGGTTATTGAGGAGAGTCTCAGGGGTTAACTTTTGAACAGAATCTTGAAAGAGGAGTAGGACTGCAGTGACAGTGGTAAAGATCATTCCAGGCAAGAGGTAACAGCAACAGCATGGGCAAAGGCATGGGGGTGAGAGCATGCCACGTCTGATAAAGTACACGTCATGGAGGAAGGCGACAGAGAGTATATGTGAGATCAGACCAAGCATAGAGATGTAAATTAATATCCCTTATCCCAGAATATCAAATGAGTCAGTGCGATTGCTATTTTTGTGTCTTTGTGTTAAAGTGTGCCATCTGGCCAACAGACAAAATGGACTTCTCTTGGCTAACTAAGGTGCTCAAAGTTAAAGCAGACCTAGGTGGCCATGTCTGAGTGAGGAAGTGGTCACATACTTTGTGTTCTCAGAAGGACGTTGTAAAAATATCACAGGACCTCCATTTCTACAATCAAGACAAATCAGTTCCTGTTTTGTTGGTGCCGAGATAAACTGAGCCCAGAACTCCCCCATCCACATGGGTCATTTGAAAGAAAAATCTGACAAAGACTTTTGGTTTGAGCCATGGAAGCCAACCGATTAGAACTCAGCTGTGCTGAACAATTAGTATTAAGTGAGTTTCAATTCTTTTCCGTAAATGAAGTTGATTGGAAACCTAGGCAGGAACTTTCGGTGTAAAACGCGAGCACTCTTCTTTTTTTCTAGAATGCACCTTGATTTTACACCAAAGGCTGCGTCTTCTTGGTTTGCAAATTGTTCACTGGAATATAGTGTCTTTCCTCCAAATTACTTCTCAGAGAACTTTTGTTCACCCTGTGACGAAACAAGTACTAGAAAAAATCAAGGAAATAAATGCATAAAGGGCCTGTTAGACCGCATGTTTCAGAGTGGGGGTACCCCAAAGGTAAACCATCAAACAAAAATTGAGGGGCAAGTAGTTTGCTTGAAAGACACACACAGAAAGAAGAAAGAGTGGGGGTGTAAGAAAGAATAAAAGGGAAGAAAACCAATATGAGTTATGTTAAGTGTATGTGTTACTGCTGTAGCCAACTCTCGCTCACTTCCTCTGGGTACCTACAGAACTGTTGTGGAATATGGCTCAAAATCTAAAGAGTGACTAAATCTTGTGTTTTCTACCAACACCCACTTCCCATTTGTTTAGGGTTGCTCTAGGGGTATCAAGTCTTCAGGACTTCCAGCTGCTGGATGAGCTCAATCCTTTTCTATGAACAGAAAATGCCCTTTTCCAAATAAAAGCAGAAAGACCAAGGTATCTATCACCTAGGCAACATTTTAAAGCAAGTGTCCCAATGTTGTATATTATTTACAGAAATATAGGAATATGGATAACATAAAAAGACCTCAAGGAAGTTTACTTACTTTAAAATGATAGTTAACTCTGGGGAGAAAGGATGGAGAAAAAGGTTCCATATATTTTAATGGAATCCCTGTATTTTTATTGTTTTACAAAATAGATCTGAAATTAATATATAAATATTTGAAAAATTTTAGCTGTGAGTACAAAGGTGTTTTTATATTATTTTATATCCTTTTCTGTATGTTTGAAATATTCTTGAATCCTCCAAAAGTGTAAAGAAAATCCTTAAGTATGATGAGGAAAATTTGCTTAAAGTCTACAAATCTCCAATATTTAACGTGTGGCATGAATTTGCGTCATTTTCAGATAAAAAATATATATTTAAACTGTAGCAAAATTCAAATATAACCAACTATTATAAAGTTTTAATTACTGTAGCCTGGTTTAATAGCATTTGAATATGAATATGGTTATACATAATAATGTAAGTGCAACACAAATTCCCTCATGCCACAGCAGCCCAAGTTTACCAGTAACTTTGGTCTGCATTTATGTGAGACCTCATTTCTAATTAGACATATATTACTTCTTCCTCTTTAGCTATTTTTTGGTGGGAGGCCCATATTGGTTTCCTATAAGCTCAGGGGCTCAAGTATGCTCTTGTCCTCTAGCTTTATTTTCATTGTGAGATGTCTGCAAGGCTATGGGAGAACCATTGGGTTAGGCAGGTCAAGAATTAGAAAAGCCTCAAAATGCTGAGTTGTTACTGAATGTTCTTTATTCTTCTGTTAGACTCTGAAACATTCCTTTGGGTTCCTGGAGTCTTAGAATGCTTTTTATTAAAATACTTCTCTCAGCCTTTATTTAAAGTCTTCCCTACAAAGAGTCAGATCTATTTGATGGAGTTGCTTAGAAAGAGACACCACCATGTTCTCCCTGACTGCCCTCTAAATAAATATTTGAAAATTTATTAGATTGGTGCAAAAGTAATTGCAGTTTTTGCAATTACTTTTAATGACAAACACCGCAATTACTTTTGCACCAACCTACATATTGCATAAACTCAAACAAGGGAATGACCAGAGGGAGAGGAGCATGTTCACTACCAGTTCACTAGATATTCATTTTCTACCTCCTCATGTAGGCTAGCCTAGGTTAGCAATCAATACTTAATACTAGAATCTATGGTCATATCTCTCATCTACATTATATAAGTCAGCAAGCCTTCTTGAAGATGGGATAAGTGCCTTGTGATATATAAAAGTAACATGACACTAATGCTTTGGTATATTTAGAAAATATGTAATTAGCATAATGTGTCCAGGTTTATTTATATCTGCCTTTTCATTCCTGCTAATATTGATGTTAATGTGGCAGTTGCAAGCAGCTTTCAAATTCTTGGCAGTTCAATTCCACAGTACTTTAATTCATTATAGTAATTCATCTCTGTAAGGCAGAGAGGAAGGTTGAAAAGTATACTTAAGCTGTGGTTTCTTCTTTACAGATTTAGAGAGAGTGAAGAACCCCTAATACAAAACTAAAGAATGCATTATGGAATAACCTTTCTGAAATTGTATCATAGCTGTTTAACCATTGCCAGAACTAAATAAAGCTATGTTTTTCATTGAGATTCCAAACTGAAAGTATAGTATATGTGCAGATGCCATTTGAATATTTCTGACAAAGATAAGCAGTGCAACGAGTTGATGCTTCTGTTGAAAGGGGATAAAACCACTCTACTGGCAAGGCATTTATCATCACAGGAAATTTAGAAAAAGTATCAGTAATTTTATTCCCCATTCTGAGATTATCACTCATAGCTATGGTCTCTGTTATTGCAATAATAAATTGAGAAATAATATTTCCCCCAGGAAAATGTGGGATGTTTTAATGTTTTATGGCAGAAAGACAATTTTGCAGACATTGCAGAAAGCTAATGTCTCCTTTAAATTGGGCTATAATTCAAAAAGAACTATGAAATGCATCTGCAAAGAGTCAGCCGAATAAGTAAGCTTATTCTTTCAGTTTATTCCCAAAATATTTTTGATTTTTGTTGGTGTTGCTCATTTTGTGACTACAGGATGCAATGCAATTTGCTTGTATCACATATGTCCTTGGTTAGAAAAAGTTAAATATTCCTAAATAATGTTGTGTGAGGCTCAAAGTAAGGATAAATTGAAGATATTATGTAAGTTCTCCATTTTCCACCTGCATTTCACCATTTTTCATGCATTATCCCATTCATTAATGTACAAATATTTATTGAGCAAATACTATTTAGCAGGCAATATACTGTGGGCTGGGTATACTGTGTTGAAGGAGACTGGCAAAAGCAAGTAATAAATAAATGATATATAATAGCCCCATAATAAAATGTCAAAGAAAAAGTTAGAATGGATTATTCCTCAAAAAATGTATCTATATATTTTTAAAATGTTAGTTTTCTACAGTATCTGCATTTTTTCTTTCCTAATGGAAATAAAATTTTGCTTTAGTGTGGTCAACTATATATTTATACATTTATTCTTTAAAGTATTTAATTGTGATATATATCTTTAATTTTTAAAAGTGTATAAATGTATAAGAATGGTTCAAAGACAATAAAATTATCACTCTTATATCCAGCTTAAGAATTAGAAGATCACCAGTACATGCCTTCAGCCCTCTCTGCCCTGCCCTTTGAGTATTACCTCCTTTCCCTTCCCAAAGTTAAATGTTATTGCAAATATTTTTATAATCTTATTACAACTCTTTATAATTTTGCTACCTACTTGCTTAGCATCACTAACTTTAAAAATTATAAAGATAAATCATAGTATATGTGTTATTCAGCAATTAGCTAGATGTGCTTAATAATATGTTTGCATTTCTCCACTTCTACACATGTAACTGTAGTTCATACAGATTTAGTGTTTCATTGTGTAACAATAACAAAATTGTGTTTTTCCATTTCACGGTTGATAAATGTGCAAACTGTTTTCCACAATTTTGCAGAGACGTGATTATGTACAAAGGTTAGTGAACATTACTGTGCACATCACCAGGGGCACATCATTTTTACAGAATACAGAATACACTTAATAATGTGATTACTGAATCGCATGTCCAGCTTTACAAGGTAACTAAAACAGTTTAAAAACAGAAAACAAAGACATTTAATGCACAATGTGAGGATGAAAAATTATGTAACCAACTTAAATGCAAAAAAACAATTTGATGTAATTCAACATCCATTCACTAAACAACAACAAAACTCGCATACTAAAAAGAGACAGGAAATTTGGTCATCAGCAAAGTCTGGGTCCGTCACTCTCCTCCCTGGGCAACATGAGCTTCACCACTCACTCCACTTTCACCAACTACCCATCCCTGGGTTCTGTCCAGGCACCCAGCTAAGGCGCTCACCAGAATCTATGCAGGTGCTGGGGCCACTGGTTCCCAGATCTCCGTGTCCCACTCCAGCAGCTTCCAGGGTGGCTTGGGACCCGGGGGCCTGGCCACGAGGATGGCCGGGGGGATCTGGCAGGAATGGGAGGCTTCCAGAAAGAGAAGGAGACCATGCAAATCCTGAACGACCGCCTGGCCTCTTATCTGGACAGAGCGAGGAGCCTCGAGACCAAGAACCAGAGGGTGGAGAGCAAACTTGGGGTGCACCTGGAGAAGAAGAGACCCTAAGTCAGAGACTGGGGCCATTACCATTCAGGACCTGAGGGCTCAGATCTTCACAAATACTATGGACAATGCCCACATTGTTCTGCAGGTTGACAATGCTGGTCTTGCTGCTGATGACTTTAGAGTCAAGTATGAGACAGGGACAGTCATGCGCCGGTCTGTGGAGAGAGAAATCCATGGGCTCCACAAGATCATTGATGACACCAATGTCACTTGGCTGCAGCTGAAGACACAGATCGAGGCTTTCAAGGAGGAGCTGCTCTTCATGAAGAAGAACCATGAAGAGGAAGTAAAAGACCTGCAAGTCCAGATTGCAGCTCTGGGTTAACAGTGGAGGTAGATGGCCCCAAATCTCAGGATCTCGCTAAGATCATGGCAGACATCCGGGCCCAATAACGAAGAGCTGGCTCAGAAGAACCGAGAGGATCTAGAAAAGTACTGGTCTCAGCAGATTGAGGAGAGCACCACAGTGGTCACCATGCAGTCCGCTGAGGTTGGAGCTGCCGAAGTGACGCTCATGGAACTGACACATACAGTCCAGTCCTTGGAGATCGACCTGGACTTGATGAGAAATAACAAGGCCAATTGGGAGAACAGCCCGAGGGAGGTGGAGGCCCGCTAAGCCCTGCAGAAGGAGCAGCTCAACAGGATCCTGCTGCACCTGGAGTCGGAGCTGGCTGGCACAGACCCGCGCAGAGGGGTAGCGCCAGGCGCAGGAGTAAGAGGCCCTGCCGAACATCGAGGTCAATTTGGGGGCTGAGATCGCCACCTACCGCCGCCTGCTGGAAGACGGCGAGGATTTTAACCTTGGTGATGCCCTGGACAGCAGCAACTAACTCCATACAAACCATCCGAAAGACTGCCACCCGCTGGATAGTGGATTGTAAAGTGGTGTCTGAAACCAAGGACACCAAAGTTCTGAGACATTAAGCCAGCAGAAGCAGGTTCTCTTTGGGGAGCAGGAGGCCAATAAAAAGTTCAAAGGTCAAAAAAAAAAAAGAAAATTCGTTGATGAGTTTTTAACTTCTAATGTTCCTATATTCACTTAACTGTAGCCTTTAATGATTCATATCCCAATGCTAAGTCAGTGGTTTATTTGATAAATCTTTATTTTATTCTCAAATTTACTTACTTTTATCATGAGGGTCTTTAGCAGTATCAATTCTGAATGCTGTCTTAATTTCAGGCCATCTGTTTACTTTTTATGTAAAATAGAAGTCTGAGTCAGTCTGTATTCAAATTCATTTGGTGGATTCCCCCATCCATATATTTCCTGTTCATTTATTTATTTAGCAAAGATTAATTGAGTCTTACTATTTCCCCAGTAATATGTAAACTGGTGATATAACTGTGAACATTCAAAATTTGTCTTCTATGAAAAATAGAAAATAAAAATTAATAAGCTATTAGTTATTGATAAGTCCTAAGAAGAAAAATAAAACAAAGAAATGAGTGAGTAACAGGTGATGCTCTTTTGATGGATGTTCATGAAAGTCTTCAAAAGGTGATGTTTGAGCTGAGATCTAAATGGTTGCTATAAATGAGCAATGTGTCTGTTTGTAGAAAGAATGATACAGTTAAAGAAAATAATACAAAGATCATGATGCAGTAAGACTCCTGACATGTTTAAACTTGCCATGTTCACTGCAAGAAGGCCAGTATTGCCATACTGAGAGAGTCTGTAGAAAACGTTCAGAGATATAGTAGAAACAGTAGCTACATACTGACATAAGGGTATCTGTCTCTTGTTTATAACTATTAAAAGAAACTTTTGTAAATACTGCTGGCTGGAATATACTATTTACAAGAAAAAAGGAAATTAATTCTACTTCTGTTACTTTTGTTTGTTTGTTAAATCTCTTTATCTGCTTGAGTGATTATGGGGGATTATTGCTCAAATCTTCAGAATTCAAGCATCTTGCCAAGCTCCATTAGTTCTGCACTAATTTTGCCAGAAATAAGATGAATGCATTTGCCTTAGAACTTCAAGTCGTCTTTAGCATAGAGATATTATTGTTTTGTCTTAGCTTTGATTTATTTTGTGTTATCTGTTTGTTTTGTGTATTTATTGGACAATTTTATTTGTAGTTAGGTCCTCTTCTCAGTAATCCTTGGTTTTGATTAGTTTCCCTTTTTCTATTGTCTTTTACTGCAATAATTCTGAGGGAATTAATAAAGATTACCTTCTAAAATTTCTATTTCCATTTCTTCAATTTCCTTTTAAGATTTTATGGTTGTCAATGGGAAGTATAGTCATTCTTGCATTTTTAATTTCTCTGTATTGTATTTTTAATTAAGCAAGTTATTTTTTTTGCAATCTGCTTCTCAGATTTATGTCGTTGCATTCCTGCTTGCTTTCTTCTTATGTTAGACTTCTATTTTGTAAGAGCAATATCACATTGTACCTCACTGAGAATTCAAAGAAAATCTTTTTCTAAAACTTTTATTTTCTAACTCAGCTATTATTCACGGGTATTCATTTCTTTGATTTTACTGCCAGTGGTTCTCCCCCAACATCACTAACTCTAGCAGTATGTTTTGTTTTGCTTTGTATTTTATTAGTGTTGCTAATTTATGGTTAAAAGAAGTGTTAAGTATTAAAGTTCTTACATACCAAGTATAAAAGTTGTAGGAATTTTCTGATTTGATTTTTTAATAATATTTCCCTAGATTTTCCAGAGGCATTGGAATGAAGTTTTGATGATGAACCATCTTGGAAAAAGGGGCAACACACTAGGAATAAGAAATATAAAAAATAAAAGTAAAGATGCGTTCTGAAACCATGGAACCCTGGCATGCTAAAATTCAGACCTATAGAAGAGCAAATGCTCTACTTTCTGAGGGTATTAAAAAGTTAAAAGAAGTTGAATCTATATCTCTTTCTCAATTATAAATAGGTCATCACATTAATGACATTAGAAATGTAAAACCATTGAAAATATAGTATTGAAATATCAAGTTAATTAAATAATTGAACCACTGTTAAAATTAATTAAACATGAATAAAAGAAATTGAATAAGAAACAAATAAATGAAAAGATTTTTGCGTTCATATATTGGAAGAAGTAATATTGTGAAAATTTCTATTCTACCAAAGCTATCTATAGATTCAATGAAATACCTATCAAAATACTGATAGCATTTTTCATAGAAGTAGAAAAAAATTCTAAAATTCCCATGGAATTACAAAACATGCCAAATAGCGAAAGCAATCTGGAGCAAGAAGAACAAAGGTGGGATCATCCCACTGCCTGGTTTCAAAATATACTACAAACCTATAGTAATCAAAACAGCATGATACTGGCATAAAAACAGACATGTGAACCAGTGTAACAGAACAGAGAGACTAGTAATAAATCCATGCATTTAGAGTTAATTGATCTTTGACAAAGATGCCAAGAAGACATAGTGAAAAAAGGGTAGTGTCTTTAATAAATGGTATTGAGAAAAATGGATATCCATATGCAGAAGAATAAAATTGGACACTTATTTCACACCATATACAAAAATCAACTCAAAATGGATTAAAGACTTAAATGTAAAACTTGAAATTGTAAAACTACTAGAAAAAAAAAAGTGTTGTGGAAAAGCCTCTTGCCAATAGCTGGGCAATAAATTTTGGATATGACCCCAAAAGCACAGACTACAAAAGGTAAAATAGACAAATGGGACTGCATCAAACTAAAAAGCTTCTGCACAGTGAGAGAATCAATCAAAAGAGTGAAGAGACAACATATGGAATGAAAGAAAGCATTTGCATACCATACATCTAATGAGGGGTTGATATTTAAAATATGTAAGGAATCCACACAGTTCAATAGTAAGAAAACAAATAACCCAATTTAAAAATGGGCAAGTAGTCTGAATAGACATTTCTCCAAAGAAGGTACAGAAATGCCAGCTGGTATATGAAAAATACTAAACGTCACTAATAGTCATGGAAAAGTAAATCGAAATCACAACTAGATATTACCACACACCTGTTAGAATAGTTAATATCAAAAAGAAAAACGATAACAAATGTAGACAAGGATGTGGATTAAAAGGAACCTTTGTACACTGTTGGTGGGAATGGAAACAGTATGGATGTCCCTCAAAAGAATTAAAAATAGAACTACTACATGCTACAGCGATCCTACATGCTACAGCGATCCCACTGGTGTATATATTTCTAAAATAAATAAAGCCAATATGTCAAATTTATAGCTGCACTCCCATTTTTATTAGTATCTGTTTCAGCATTATTCACAGTAGTCAAGACATGAAAACCACATATGTGTTTGTCAATGAATGATCGAATAAAAAAAAGTGTTTCTGTATGTGTGTGTGTATGTGTGTACAGAGGTATAAAAGGTTTAATATTTCTGCTGTGCAGAATGGATAAGTTCTGGAGATCTAATATACAGCCTGGTTAATTTAGTTAATAATACTGTAACTTATATGGGGAATTTGCTAAAACAGTAGATCTTAAATGTGTTTTCAAAAACAAAAAATAGGTAACTATGTGATGTGATGTATATGTTACCTTTTCACAATGTATACATTACCTTTTCACAATATATACATATTTTCAAACATCATTTTGTACATTGTAAATACATACAATTTTTATTTGTCAATTATACCTTAATAAAGCTGGGAGAAAAAAACTAAACTGATTTCCAGCAGGAAAATACTGCATTTATAATAATAACTTTAAACCTAAAGTTTAATAAATAAGTTCAAACATTGATTATTATTTGGAAGCACAGCCAACTGTATTTAATTTTGGACAGTTGTATTATTTCACATCTTTTATTTAATTAAAACTGAAGCTGAAAGATTAATATAGCCAATTCCCCCAACAAATACCTTCATTTTATCTAGCGTAAGTTAAGTATACCAGCATAATCTTTATTAATTTTTAACCCATGAATTTCCCCTTATTCTCCTCACGTAATGACAAAACAAACTTTCTGATTCATTTTAGATACTCCTTTGTTCACTGAACTTTTTTTTCTAAATTTTAAATTTACATGGCTATAGTATGTCTGTGACATTCAGCAGGAGGCTTTGAGAACACATTTTACTTTTTATCAATTTTACTTTTAGAAATGAATAAGGTACTGTTTTTGAGTTTTGAATAACTAAATTTAAATCTAATTTTACAGTCAAGTTATAAAAGATCCAGTTAGAATTGTGAAGGATAATCCTAAAAATAAATATATTAAATATATAAAACTGAGATGCCAATAATTTCAGTCTATTAAATTACTCTCAACATCACTACTACTAACAAAAGTTCCACTGTGATTTTTTAATCTCTCTCACATAAAATAAAACTTCTTTTAACCTTGGCAATCTGGACTAATTCCAATTATCTCACTAGCTTTTTTTTCCCCCAATTTTACTTAATATTTTTAATTTGTTTTATTCAATAAAATATGTAATTCCAAAAATAGCTATGACAATCTCAGATCATTCCTCCACATATATAAACCTCATAAGCAGTTTAGTGATGACCTTTGTAACTAAGCAAACATTGTTAAATATTGAAACAATGTAATGGGCATTTTAACTCTAGTAACTATTACAAATCAATTCAGAATTCATACTAGTTCAAATAAAATAGAAGTTTATTTTTGCACGACACTCCAAAGTTGTGTTCCTTGTCAGAAGGGAAGCTCCACACAGTCATTCAGGAATCTAGGCTGCCCAAGATGCCACCCAACATGTGACTTCTACAGTTACTGTGGCTTTCTTCATCCTGGTCAGTCAAAAGGGAAGCAGGACCTGAAGGAACATGTGTGAGCTATTTCAATGCATAAGGCCTGGATGAGGACACATTACTTTCACTTATTATACATACATGGCTTCATTT
The DNA here is from genome assembly GCF_000001405.40 of Homo sapiens. NCBI lineage: Eukaryota > Metazoa > Chordata > Mammalia > Primates > Hominidae > Homo > Homo sapiens. The sequence continues at coordinate 30,779,669 of NC_000009.12, forward strand.
AACTGTATAAGGTGCTAGAAAATATAATCCAGGTATATGTCCAAGAAAAAGAGGGAACTGAAAGTTAGAGAATAGGGAGAAGTTTCTGCCACAAAACACTAAGAAAAAAAATCATATAGAAATAAGTTGATCAATTCTCTCGTTTTGCCCAAGACTGTTCTAATTTTAAAACGGAATCTCCTCAATCCCAGGAAAACCAGAACGATTTGTCACTGAATATACAAAATTCATATATATCAAAAGAAGATAGCTTAAAAATAATGTTTCAATATGAATCAATTCTGTCATAAACTAAGAATTCGTTATTAAAGGAAAATAATTCTTTATATTTTTATGATAAATTAAATAGAACACAAACTGACTAGGAATTTATATATATATGATCAGAAAAGAAAAAAAAACTTTAGGCCATGAAAATTTGGCAATATACTTTACAGTTTTGTGTACATTCATTATTATCACTTTTTAAAATATATAAAATGGTCAAAATTAACAAAACATGTATGTGTGCATTTTCCCACAAAGTTACTCATATTATATAATTTCGATACTTTGTGCTTGTATGTATATTCATCATTATAAATTATAAAAAGATTAGATATTTTAAAAAGAAATTTCTGAGACAAAAAAACATTTAAATACATTTTATACAAACAATATCTGGAAAACATTTTATATGTAAATGTAATGTGTTAATTCAAAGATATGGAAATGTTCAGGATATATTATAATGTTACATAAAAATTTATTTTAAAATTATAAAGAAACCGTATTTTAGGATTAGTAACTAGATCTGCAATTACACACTACATACAAGGCTACAGAGATCTAAATTTGTTTTCAGATGCATAATAGGTATTAATATTTTTCTTGTCCTTGAGAAGATTTTGTAAACAGTAGTGGTTTACTATCTTGATTTACCTACCCAAGTCTTTGATTTGATAACCAAAATTTAGTAATAGAGAACTTGTTTTTCTTTACTTGTTAATGACCTTTTTAGTATTTTTCAAAATACAATGTTCGTTTTCGTTGTCAGAAAACACATAAGTAAGAAAACATTCTGTTTCTTTTTTCTTTTTTTTTTATGTTTTATTTTTTTTTTGAGACGGAGTCTCGCTCTGTCACCCAGGCTGGAGTGCAGTGGCGCGATCTGGGCTCACTGCAAGCTCCACCTCCCTGGTTCACTCCATTCTCCTGCCTCAGGCTCCCGAGTAGCTGGGATTACAGGCGCACGCTGCCACGCCCAGCCAACTTTTTGTATTTTAGTAGAGACGGGGTTTCACCGTGTTGCCCAGGCTGGTCTCGAACTCCTGAGCTCAGGTAATCCACCCACCTCGGCCTCCCAAAGTGCTGGGATTACAGGCGTGAGCCACTGCGCCCATTCCGGAAACATTCTTAAAAGGTAGAAAGCCAATGCGAGGAGGGGTGGAACTTACAGAAGGAACTTATATTCCTTCTGTACTGCAGGAATGGGCACAGACTGGCTCCCTGGTCTGACTACGTAATGACACCAGTTCCATGTTCATCGTCACTTTTAGATATTAATGATCAGATAAAACGCTCAATTTCAGTGGAATTAAGAGATGGAGTGGATACTGATCTCAAGAAGTGTCGGTAACATACTGATTATCTACGTTTTTATTAACTTAAGAGAAAAGAAAATCAAGGGAAGAAGGAAGATATTTGGGGTACACAAACATTATCAAGCCTCAAATAACACATGACAGATAATCTCCCAGTGCTTCTATATTCTAAATTTACCTTTCTTCTCAGTGCAAGCTGAAATGTTACCAAATAAAAAGTATTCTCATAAGTCTTCAAGTATTCTGACTTTGATTACATCATTTTTGTCTTTACATAGTTGTAGTAAGAGACAAATTTGCCAACATTTTTGAAGAACTATTGTTTCTGTCAGTAGGATCTAAATAATTTGTTAATGATCTTTAAGAAAATATATTTCTACTGCCACTCATTCCAGAGAATGCTAAATAAAAAGAGTTGTTTCTGGAAGGATCAACTCAATCTAAATCAAACCTGCTATTTGGAGTGCTCATTATTACAACTGAAAATGTAACGAGCATATATAAAATAACTTTGTTTTATCTGTTAACATTCTCCAGACTGGCAGCCCAAAGGAACCTTATTAAGTTGGAGTCACTGTGTTGGAGGATGAATTCTGATCATTTATTTGCCCTTGAGTATACTCACAAACCATCCCTATTAGTTTCTATTGCTGTACAAAAGCATTGCTCCGAACGTACCTGCTTAAAACAGCAGGTATTTATTGTCTCACTGTTTCTGTGGCTTGAAATCTGAGTACCACCTAGCTGAGTGTTGGCTAGGGCTGAAGTCTTAGCTGAGGTTCACCATGGTAAGATTTGCTACTAAGTTTACTCAGGTGATTGGCAGAATTCATTTCTTTGTGGGTGTTGAAGGTTTCTTGGTTTTTTGCTTGTTTTCTTTTTTTGTTTTGGTTTTGTTTGGTTTGGTTTGGTTGGTTTTTTTGTTGTTGTTACTGTTTGGTTTTTGCTGGCTTTCAACAGAAGGCTACTTTCAGCTTCTAGAAGCTGTCCAAATTTTCTTGACATGAGCAATCACGCAACATGGCCACTTTGTTTCCTTAAAGCCACAAAAGGAAAGGAAGACACTCTAGCAAGATGCCATCAATAACCATGTATGCATAATCAGATACCTCTGCTGCATTCTATTGGTTAGAAGCACATCACAGAAAGTACACACCTTAAAAGGAGATGATCACACAACAACACGAACATCAGGAGTTGGGGTAATGGCATCTACGTTTACAATCAGCCTGCCACACCATTCATACATATTTTTATCCAACATTCCAATAATGTTAATAGTCTGCTGAAAAAATTGTCTAGTGTATCATTTGATAGAATAACACATTGAAGTCTAATTTATACAAACATTTATGCCTTAGACATTTATCCTATGTCATAATATAAGCAAAACTCTGAAAAGAATGTGACCCAGAATTCTATTTTAAAGTTCTGTAGGAACTTCAATTTTTATTTTCACAGATGTGGAAGAAAAATTAAATGATAATCACATTGAAAAATCTCATCAATCTACCTTTTGAAGTAGGAAAGGTAAATGAATACAAACACCTTCATTATGCAGCAGAAATTGTCTGCATTAAATGCACAATCTCACATACCAATAGACCTAGTGAATTAAAATGTGCAACTCATTATTTAATAAAATATCATAAAGCTTTGAATTTACTAGATTACTGCTTCTGTGTCCTTAGGCCTATTTATTAGTAAATTCTTAATCAATGAATTATAAAGTAAAATCTGTCTTCAACCCTAACACAAAATTATGAACTCAACCCTAACACAAAATTATGAACTCAAGGATTCTGATAATGAATGCTGTTTTTTATTGACATTTAATTGAACCATAATTTTTTGAATACATAAACTTCAAAATATTATCGAAATACTAAAATAAAGATGTCTATCATTGTGTTTATTCTTTCTATATATATCTGAAAATTCAGTTATGCATTTTAAATCACCATGGCTTCCAATTTCTCTAACCTAGTATTTTTATATTTATTTATTTTTATTTTTTTCTCTGACCTAATATCTTCTTCTTGTACAAGACATGACTCCTACTGTATATGTCTTGATTTCCAGATTTGTTCACTACAGAGAAGTGAATTAATGCAGCTTGGTTTTGTTTCCTTGCTGACAATCTTTTAGAAGTTTTGGGTTCCTTTTTGGATGAAATCTGAATTTATTCAGTTAGTTTCTGTAGTCCTGTATAATTGAGCCCTTTATAAATGTTTCGCTGCTTCTTGCCTTGTTTAATGTGCTACAGTTGTATGCTTCTGACTGCTCAAAGAATCATCTTCCTTACCACCTCACTGACCCAACACTTCTTTTATTCTTTTTCTGGATAATTGCATCAAACTCTACAGACCTCAGGATATGTTACTTCATATAACTAGCATTCCAATGATAAAGGGGGTATCAGGGCTGATAGATTTAGCAAGTCAACACTGGCAAGATGCTTCACTGTGATAGGCATGTGAAAACCATCATCTCTGAAGAATAAGCTAGTTATAGTAAACTTGTACAATTTAAATATAGATATGGCATAATTCCAAGGTGAACAAATTATAATTATAGAAAAAGTAGATAATTAAAAAGAGACATATCTTCTAGAAATTATTCCTCTTTACATTAGGAAACATTCCGATGTTGATATATTCACATTTTATATTAAACCAGTTCATAATATTTATAGTGTTTCAAAAACTACTTTTTTAGAATTATTACAAAATATTAGGTATAAAATACGTTTTCATATATCCAAGTTCATTAGTATAGTTTTACCTTTTATCATTGAAAAATAGTCCCTTGGGTCATAATTTATTTAAACCTACTCTTTTTGGTTGAACTTTTTCCTTAAAATTTTCCTATTTTTAACAGTACTGTACTGAACATTCTTATAGGTAAATATTTTTGTATGCACTTTTTTTCTGAAAATCACTATCTAAAAATTAAATTAATGGGTCAGATGGCATATATATATTTTAAGCTATCAGAAATGATAATACTAATTTATACTCTAATTAATAGGTTGTAAAGTAATTTTGAATCCTGTAAATCCTCAAAAACTTAAGTCTCTGAGTTACTTGTAGAAGGTTAATCAAAATGCAAAGAGGGCAAGTGACAAATTCTAGTATAATTTTAAGAGAAATTAATTTTAAATACCTTGATATTTTATAACATTCTCTCTACAAAATAGAATTAATAATAACATGATTAATTTATATAACATTTCAAACAACTACAGAGACTCAGCAGTTAAAGTATGTAATAGATTAGAGAGATATTAACTGGAAAAAGAAAATCAGCTCACTAGTTACCTTCACCTTTGAATTAATGTAATAATTTTGCCAACATCTTAAATTCTATATTCTCAAAAATCTTATTTAAAAGTTATGTGTACATAGTAGGTATATATATTTATGAAATACATGCAATATTTTGATATAGGCATACAATGCATAATAATCCCATCAGGGTGATTATGGTCAACAATAACTTGATGTACATTTAAAAATAACTCAAAAATCTTATTTTGACAGAACGCTAGGGGCCAGTTTATCCATAGGTCAGGATAGATTCCAATTATTTATGTCCAGCCAGTGGATTAAAAGAACATGATCATTACAGACAGTTTAAAAAATATCTGTGTTATCTGACCCATCTAATTAATCTTTAGATAGTTACTTTAAGAAAAAAAGTGTACACAAAAATATTTACCTATAAGAATGTTCAGTGCAGTACTGTTAAACATAACATAATTTTGTAATTTTTTAAATCATTCTTATAATTTTTATTTTTTATTATTATTATTATACTTTAAGTTTTAGGGTACATGTGCACAATGTGCAGGTTAGTTACATATGTATACATGTGCCATGCTGGTGTGCTGCACCCATTAACTCGTCATTTAGCATTAGGTATATCTCCTAATGCTAACCCTCACCCCTCCCTCCACCCCACAACAGTCCCCAGAGTGTGATGTTCCCCTTCCTGTGTCCATGTGTTCCCATTGTTCAATTCCCATCTATGAGTGAGAACATGCGGTGTTTGGTTTTTTGTCCTTGCAATAGTTTACTGAGAATGATGATTCCCAATTTCATCCATGTCCCTACAAAGGACATGAACTCATCATTTTTTATGGCTGCATAGTATTCCATGGTGTATATATGCCACATTTTCTTAATCCAGTCTATCATTGTTGGACATTTGGGTTGGTTCCAAGTCTTTGCTATTGTGAATAGTGCCACAATAAACATATGTGTGCATGTGTCTTTATAACAGCATGATTTATAGTCCTTTGGGTATATACCCAGTAATGGGATGGCTGGGTCAAATGGTATTTCTAGTTCTAGATCCCTGAGGAATTGCCACACTGACTTCCATAATGGTTGAACTAGTTTACACTCCCAACAACAGTGTAAAAGTGTTCCTATTTCTCCACATCCTCTCCAACACCTGTTGTTTCCCGACTTTTTAATGATTGCCATTCTAACTGGTGTGAGATGGTATCTCATTGTGGATTTGATTTGCATTTCTCTGATGGCCAGTGATTCTGAGCATTTTTTCATGTGTCTTTTGGCTGCATAAATGTCCTCTTTTGAGAAGTGTCTGTTCATCTCCTTCACCCACTTTTTGATGGGGTTGTTTGTTTTTTTCTTGTAAATTTGTTTGAGTTCATCGTAGATTCTGGATATTAGCCCTTTGTCAGATGAGTAGGTTGCGAAAATTGTCTCCCATTTTGTGGGTTGCCTGTTCACTCTGATGGTAGTTTCTTTTGCTGTGCAGAAGCTCTTTAGTTTAATTAGATCCCATTTGTCAATTTTGGCTTTTGCTGCCATTGCTTTTGGTGTTTTAGACATGAAGTCCTCGCCCATGCCTATGTCCTGAATGGTAATGCCTAGGTTTTCTTCTAGGGTTTTTATGGTTTTAGGTCTAACATTTAAGTCTTTAATCCATCTTGAATTAGTTTTTGTATAAGGTGTAAGGAAGGGATCCAGTTTCAGCTTTCTACATATGGCTAGCCAGTTTTCCCAGCACCATTTATTAAATAGGGAATCCTTTCCCCATTGCTTGTTTTTCTCAGGTTTGTCAAAGATCAGATAGTTGTAGATATGCGGCATTATTTCTGAGGGCTCTGTTCTGTTCCATTGATCTATATCTCTGTTTTGGTACCAGTACTATGCTGTTTTGGTTACTGTAGCCTTGTAGTATAGTTTGAAGTCAGGTAGCATGATGCCTCCAGCTTTGTTCTTTTGCCTTAGGATTGACTTGGCAATGCGGGCTCTTTTTTGGTTCCATATGAACTTTAAAGTAGTTTTTTCCAATACTGTGAAGAAAGTCATTGGTAGCTTGATGGGGATGGCATTGAATCTATAAATTACCTTGGGCAGTATGGCCATTTTCACGATATTGATTCTTCCTACCCATGAGCATGGAATGTTCTTCCATTTGTTTGTATCCTCTTTTATTTCATTGAGCAGTGGTTTGTAATTCTCCTTGAAGAGGTCCTTCACGTCCCTTGTAAGTTGGATTCCTAGGTATTTTATTCTCTTTGAAGCAATTGTGAATGGGAGTTCACTCATGATTTGGCTCTCTGTTTGTCTGTTATTGGTGTATAAGAATGCTTGTGATTATTGTACATTGATTTTGTATCCTGAGACTTTGTTGAAGTTGCTTATCAGCTTAAGGAGATTTTGGGCTGAGACAATGGGGTTTTCTAGATATACAATCATGTCATCTGCAAACAGGGACAATTTGACTTCCTCTTTTCCTAATTGAATACCCTTTATTTCCTTCTCCTGCCTGATTGCCCTGGCCAGAACTTCCAACACTATGTTGAATAGGAGTGGTGAGAGAGAGCATCCCTGTCTTCTGCCGGTTTTCAAAGGGAGTACTTCCAGTTTTTGCCCATTCAGTATGATATTGGCTGTGGGTTTGTCATAGAGAGCTCTTATTATTTTGAGATACATCCCATCAATACCTAATTTATTGAGAATTTTTAGCATGAAGCGTTGTTGAATTTTGTCAAAGGCCTTTTCTGCATCTATTGAGATAATCATGTGGTTTTTGTCTTTGGTTCTGTTTATATGCTGGATTACATTTATTGATTTGCATATATTGAACCAGCCTTGCATCCCATGGATGAAGCCCACTTGATCATGGTGGATAAGCTTTTTGATGTGCTGCTGGATTCGGTTTGCCAGTATTTTATTGAGGATTTTTGCATCAATGTTCATCAAGGATATTGGTCTAAAATTCTCTTTTTTGGTTGTGTCTGTGCCTGGCTTTGATATCAGGATGATGCTGGCCTCATAAAATGAGTTAGGGAGGATTCCTTCTTTTTCTATTGATTGGAATAGTTTCAGAAGGAATGGTACCAGTTCCTCCTTGTACCTCTGGTAGAATTCGGCTGTGAATCCATCTGGTCCTGGACTCTTTTTGGTTGGTAAGCTATTGATTATTGCCACAATTTCAGAGCCTGTTATTGGTCTATTCAGAGATACAACTTCTTCCTGGTTTAGTCTTGGGAGAGTGTATGTGTCGAGGAATTTATCCATTTCTTCTAGATTTTCTAGTTTATTTGAGTAGAGGTGTTTGTAGTATTCTCTGATGGTAGTTTGTATTTCTGTGGGATCGGTGGTGATATCCCCTTTATCATTTCTTATTGCATCTATTTGATTCTTCTCTCTTTTTTTCTTTATTAGTCTCGCTAGCGGTCTATCAATTTTGTTGATCCTTTCAAAAAACCAGCTCCTGGATTCATTAATTTTTTGAAGGGTTTTTTTTTGTCTCTATTTCCTTCAGTTCTGCTCTGATTTTAGTTATTTCTTGCCTTCTCCTAGTTTTTGAATGTGTTTGCTCTTGCTTTTCTAGTTATTTTAATTGTGATGTCAGGGTGTCAATTTTGGATCTTTCCTACTTTCTCTTGTGGGCATTTAGTGCTATAAATTTCCCTCTACACACTGCTTTGAATGTGTCCCAGAGATTCTGGTATGTTGTGTCTTTGTTCTTGTTGGTTTCAAAGAACATTTTTATTTCTGGCTTCATTTCGTTATGTACCCAGTAGTCATTCAGGAGCAGGTTGTTCAGTTTCCATGTAGTTGAGCGGTTTTGAGTGAGATTCTTAATCCTGAGTTCTAGTTTGATTGCACTGTGGTCTGAGGTACAGCTTGTTATAATTTCTGTTCTTTTACATTTGCTGAGGAGAGCTTTACTTCCAACTATGTGGTCACTTTTTCAATTGGTGTGGTGTGGTGCTGAAAAAAATGTATATTCTGTTGATTTAGGGTTCAGAGTTCTGTAGATGTCTATTAGGTCTGCTTGGCACAGAGCTGAGTTCAGTTCCTGGGTATCCTTGTTGACTTTCTGTCTCGTTGATCTGTCTAATGTTGACAGTGGGGTGGTAAAGTCTCCCACTATTATTGTGTGGGAGTCTAAGTCTCTTTGTAAGTCGCTCAGGACTTGCTTTATGAATCTGGGTGCTCCTGTATTGGATGCATATATATTTAGGATAGTTAGCTCCTCTTGTTGAATTGATCCCTTTACCATTATGTAATGGCCTTGTCTCTTTTGATCTTTGTTAGTTTAAAGTCTGTTTTATCAGAGACTAGGATTGCAAACCCTGCCTTTTTTTGTTTTCCATTTGCTTGGTAGATCTTCCTCCATCCTTTTATTTTGAGCCTATGTGTGTCTCTGCATGTGAGATGAGTTTCCTGAATACAGCACACTGATGGGTCTTGACTCCTTATCCAATTTGCCACTCTGTGTCTTTTAATTGGAGCATTTAGTCCATTTACATTTAAAGTTAATATTATTATGTGTGAATTTGATCCTGTCATTATGATGTTAGCTGGTGATTTTGCTCGTTAGTTGATGCAGTTTCTTCCTAATCTTGATGGTCTTTACATTTTGTCATGATTTTGCAGTGGCTGGTACCGGTTGTGCCTTTCCATGTTTAGTGCTTCCTTCAAGAGCTCTTTTAGGGCAGGCCTGGTGGTGACAAAATCTCTCAGCATTTGCTTGTCTGTAAAGTATTTTATTTCTCCTTCACTTATGAAGCTTAGTTTGGCTGGATATGAAATTCTGGGTTGAAAAGTCTTTTCTTTAAGAATGTTGAATATTGGCCGCCACTCTCTTCTGGCTTGTAGAGTTTCTGCCGAGAGATCTGCTGTTAGTCTGATGGGCTTCCCTTTGTGGGTAACCTGACCTTTCTCTCTGGCTGCCCTTAACATTTTTTCCTTCATTTCAACTTTGGTGAATCTGACAATTATGTGTCTTGCAGTTGCTCTTCTGGAGGAGCAACTTTGTGGCGTTCTCTGTATTTCCGGAATCTGAATGTTGGCCTGCCTTGCTAGATTGGGGAAGTTCTCCTGGATAATATCCTGCAGAGTGTTTTCCAACTTGCTTCCATTCTCCCCGTCACTTTCAGGTACACAAATCAGACACAGATTTGGTCTTTTCACATAGTCCCATATTTCTTGGAGGCTTTGTTTGTTTCTTTTTATTCTTTTTTTGTCTAAACTTCCCTTCTCACTTCATTTCATTCATTTCATCTTCCATCACTGATACCCTTTCTTCCAGTTGATCGCATCGGCTCCTGAGGCTTCTGCATTCTTCACGTAGTTCTCGAGCGTTGGCTTTCAACTCCATCAGCTCCTTCAAGCACCTCTCTGTTTTGGTTATTCTAGTTATACATTTGTCTAAATTTTTTTCAAAGTTTTCAACTTCTTTTCCTTTGGTTTGAATTTCCTCCTGTAGCTCAGGGTAGTTTGATCATCTGAAGCCTTCTTCTCTCAGCTCGTCAAAGTCATTCTCCATCCAGCTTTGTTCTGTTGCTGGTGAGGAACTGCATTCCTTTGGAGGAGGAGAGGTGCTCTGATTTTTAGAGTTTCCAGTTTTTCTGCTCTGTTTTTTCCCCATCTTTGTAGTTTTATCTACTTTTTGTCTTTGATGATGGTGATGTACAGATGGGTTTTTGGTGTGGATGTCCTTTCTGTTTGTTAGTTTTCCTTCTAACAGACAGGACCCTCAGCTGCAGGTCTGTTGGAGTTTGCTAGAGGTCCACTCCAGACCCTTTTTGCTTGGGTATCAGCAGCCGTGTCTGCAGAACCACGGATTTTCGTGATCCACGAATGCTGCTGTCTCATCGTTCCTCTGGAAGTTTTGTCTCAGAGGATTACCCAGCCGTGTGAGGTGTCAGTCTGCCCCTACTAGGGGGTGCCTCCCAGTTAGGCTGCTTGGGGGTCAGGGGTCAGGGACCCAGTTGAGGAGGCAGTCTGCCCGTTCTCAGATCTCCAGCTGCCTGCTGGGAGAACCACTGCTCTCCTCAAAGCTGTCAGACAGGGACATTTAAGTCTGCAGAGGTTACTGCTGTCTTTTTGTTTGCCTGTGCCCTGCCCCCAGAGATGGAGCCTACAGAGGCAGGCAGGCCTCCTTGAGCTGTGGTGGGCTCCACCCAGTTCCAGCTTCCAGGCTGCTTCATTTACCTAAGCGAGCCTGGGCAATGGCGGGCGCCCCTCCCCCAGCCTCGCTGCTGCCTTGCAGTTTGATCTCAGACTGCTGTGCTAGCAATCAGCCAGACTCCGTGGGCATAGGACCCTCCGAGCCGGGGGCAGGATTTAATCTCCTGGTGCGCCCTTTCCTAAGCCCGTCGGAAAAGCGCAGTATTCGGGTGGGAGTGACTCTATTTTCCAGGTGCCGTCTGTCACCCCTTTCCTTGACCAGGAAAGGGAACTCCCTGACCACTTGTGCTTCTCGAGTGAGGCAACACCTCGCCCTGCTTCGGCTCGCGCACGGTGCGCTGCACCCACTGTCCTGCACCCACTGTCTGGCACTCCCTAGTGAGATGAACCCGGTACCTCGGATGGAAATGCAGAAATCACGCGTTTTCTGCATAGCTCACATGGGGAGCTGTAGACCGGAGCTGTTCCTATTCGGCCATCTTGGCTCCTCCCCCTCATTCTTATAATTTTTATAACCTGTTATAAGTATGGTAGAGATACAATCAGATACATTTACGTAAACATCATTTCTGTATTCCTTCCTAATTGCAGACCTGCTGAGAGTGTCAAGTTTCAGTAAAATAAAAAGAGTTATTTTATAGCAGAGGATTATGTATGTCACGATGATGTTTAACGAAATCTGCGACACTGAAGGAGAACGTTTAGGAGCGAGTCGATACATCGAATATGACTTCCCTAGAAGTTCACAAGAATGACAAAGCGCTGTTGCAAATGTCAAGATGTTCAGTGGTCTAAGTGATATCCTCTTTCCTTTGCACCATGTATTTTCAGAAGTTTATGTGTTATGCTAAGATTTGTCATATATGAATGATGTTTTTCAATGCTTTATTTTGTAAAAGTATTTCATATGCAAGCCATTTTGATTTTATAGTAGCTATCCTAATCAAAGAGACATATCTGCTTTAATAATACATATTACTGTTCTGTGTCACAGGAATGCAGCTTAATTTATTTAATCACCTGTGTAAAATAGCATCCATAAGAGAATTGTTGTGGGGACAGTCTTCCAAAGCACCATATGTGATATTTTCCACTGGTTTAGATTGCCTGTGTTAATATTATTCATCAATATAAATGATCAAGAGTTGCAGTATTGATTGGTATTGATGTCAAGGAAGCAAAATGAGAGGTAACCTAAATTAGCATGAATAAAAAAGGATTTATGGCAAACATTTAAGCATAGGAGTAAATGTGAAACCCATTTCAAAGGAAACAAATTAGCAAATGGTTTAATTGACAGAAAGCTCTGTGTAAATAATGGCTGCATTTTTTTTCACTGTTCATTTGAATAAGAAAGCCACTGACATTGGTAATCAGTGGTTTACCTCTAGATTTTTACAAGTAAGAGAGTTGTTGAAATAAAACTCCAAATGCTACAGCATGTCTGAGATCAAAATTTTCAGTTGATGTTCATTGATTTCTTATTGTAACACTGATTTGTTAATGTAATTTTTCAATAAAACCCATTTCTTATTAATATAAAAGGGTTAACATAGTTAAAAAAGAAATAGATATAGTTCATTCTAACTTAAGATCAGGCCTAATGTATTCTATTCTATAGTGATTATTGACACTCTGAAAAATACAACTAGGAACTAAATGTGCCATAGGATGACATTAAGAAAAAATACAACAAAAACAAATATTTCTAAAATCAAATTAAGAGATGATTTCAATTAAATTTTCAAAGCAGACCCAATCAATTTTTGACAATAAACATTTAATCTGTCAAGGGTTTAGCTATACAAGCTTGTGGTGGATGAGTTACATGTGATAAAATTTTATTTGCCAGAAAGATGAATTCTCAAATTCCCATCTTTGCATTCATTGGTTGTATTCTCTAGAAATGAATCTGGGGATTCTTTTAGTCCCAGTTCCGTGGATAGTTATTGACTTTTAGATAGTAATGAACACTAATTAGATAAGATTGTTCCTTGTGGTTAAACAATAGCTTGAGGGAAAAAAATAATATTTGCATGCGTCATTGAGGACCAGAAAAGGACATTATACATTACGTTATTTTGTACTCATGCTTCACAAATCCCTGAATGAAGAACTAATAAAGGTGCATATGCATTTTCCTGTTTTTTATGTATTATTACTTAACTGATTGGTGTACACTAGTTATGCTTTCTTTATAATAGTTTATTTTAAAGCTTATTTGTTTAGGATTCTGTTTTTCACTACTACATTGGACACTGAACTAGGCATCTAAATAAAAGAATGGATTAATTAATGATTTTTTACTCTGTAATTTGAATTATGAATTGTATCATTGAAAACAAGCAAGCATCAAATACCTCACAGGGTAAGCTGGTAGCGCAAAATTAAACTTTCATTTTCTTGATTTCCAAGGTATTATGTTATTCTATACACTGCATAGAAACTTTTCCTCCCTATAAGAATTTTAAAATTAATTTTAACTTTTCTTTTTATTAATATTATTAATTAAGAATTCATAATTTTACATACCTGTGTGACTCAATATGATGTTTCCCTATAGGTGTATAATATGTAATAATTAAATCAAGCTGATTATCAGAGCCATAGCCTCACTTCTTTTTTATGGTGAGTTACGAGAAATGTACCTTCTAGGCCATGGTGCCTAGAGGAGGAACAGATGTCCCTAAAAACCTAAACATCCCAGAACATATTTGAGAACATAATGACAATAAAAACAGTTTCATTACACACAGCAGACGAATAGCTGAAAAATTATCTTAAAAGCAACTTAGGGGCAGGTAGTGAGACAGATCTCTGGAGTTGTCTTGCTGCTACCCAGTAATGCCCTGTATGTAAGTTGTAACTAACTCATGTACTCAGCAAGCTAGCCTTGTCTGAGTCATTCCTTTTTTTCTTGGTTTCTTTCTAGTTTGGGGGTCCTTGCTTGAGGAGATGTTACATTCCTTGGTTTTTCTCATAATAGCATCATGTGAGATTGTGCTTAGAGGGACCTCCAGGTTGCAGTATCTTAACATGCTTGCTTCAAAGGAATGACAGATACTTTTCTCCTACTATTTATATCTAACATCAAAGGGAAAGGCTCTGACTGGTCCAAGTTGGACTTCATGTCCATTCCTAGCTCAATATGTGTAATCAGAGGTCACACGATTGTCCAGGAATTAATCACAAGCTTGTCACTGTGGTGATATGACCTCCAGTGTAACAAGAACCATACTAGGTGGTGAATGGATTATTTCATAGAAGAAGCAGGACTGCTGCACATAGAAAAGAGATGACAAGATAATCTTCAGGAGAGAGCAATTATGTCTCTAAATGTTGTTATTAGTTTTATCTATTAGAAGTTTCAAACAATCCCAGTTGTGTGGACACAGACATTACACAATTTAGGAAGGCAAACATAGGTAGGAGAGTACTATATTATAGTAGAGTACTATATTACTAACAATAACGTACATGCAAATATCACGTAATAGTTTTCAAAGTGATTTAATTAGTTTTGTATCCCTGTGAATTCAGGAGAGTGCTAAATATATGGTGGTGCAAAGTCTAAAGTTCCTGTCTTTAAAAAATCAAAAGTAATGCCTTAGTATTTATCCTCTCTTGGACAAACAACTAAACTCTTCAGAACTTCATTTATGAATTGGGAGTAGTAATGGTTGTAACTTCATGGATTTGCAATTAAGATTGAGTAGGCAAATATATGCAAAGTGCTTTGAAATGTGCCTGACACATATTAAGCACTTAGAAAAGTTTACCTATTATTATTATCATAATTATATTTGTGTCGACCTGATTTAATCACATGGCCTTGTTATCCTTGCCACATTGGATTGAAAACCAAAATCAGCTTGTTATCTAAAGACTACCATTGACAGATTAGGGAACTGATACGCTTCTTTTACTAAGGTGTCTAGTGAAGTAAATCTTCCCAATATATAGTGACTTTCCAGTCAGCCTCATATTCCCAAGAGGTTCTGAGTATAAAATTCACATAGATAATGTAGCAAATTTAGAAAGAATTATACAAGCAAGAAGAAAACAAGACCCAGAGAGAAGCTGAAGTACACATCGGAGGAGTCAGGAGAGTAGGAAAGAATTAATACTTAGTTCAGAGGGGATGACAAAACAATGTGAGTAACCAAACATATTGTAGATTTATTATTCAACTCCAAAATAAATTATAATTAATTTATCAGCTTACAAAACTGTTATATCCTTGCAATTAGCCCTTACAACCTAAAGGAAAGAGGTTTTTGTTTCCTAAAATACTAAAAAGCCAAACTAACACTATTTCATTTGTTATCACAGTGACCAAGACACAGCCTAGTGATGGAGGATGAATACTATAGCCATATATCCATATTCTGAATATATCAATTTCTGATTACTCCCAAAAAGCCCCAAATTTTCTTTCACTTCAGAAAACCAAGGTCATTAAGTTGATATTTACCCCACCAATGACTCATATATAAAAGTGTACACATATTCTTGGGAAGCTACAATCTGTAATTGTGTTGTTTTTAAATAAATGGGCATAAAACATTTTAATTCAATTGCATTTGGTGATTTTGAGATTGCTTTCCTACAGCACACTCCTTTTTTTTCAGAGGAATACAGAAGCATTTTGGGAGAATTATCTTCTACCCTGGAGATGGAACAGGACAGACATGACCTAGTGGTTCTTGGAGCAATATAAAAAGACAGAACTTCCCCAGGGCCATCCTGGTCAGCATCCACCTGCAGGAGTTGACCTACCAGGTTTACAATTTAAAAAAAGAGAAAGCAACACTTAGCCTGTATATATATATACACTTGAGGTATAGTGAATAGAGAATGATATTAGAAGATAGAAGCCTGGCTATATTACTAATTACCTCTATCTCTGAGAAAGTAATTTAATCTCCCTGGTCTTCAATTTCCTAACTACTAATGAGATGTGGTTGTAAAAGATTGTCTATAATAAACCCTCCAACTCTTCAAATCTGTAAATTAGCTTGTCAACCCCTGACATATCCAAATAAACCTGAAGAAGTTATTATGCTGAGCACAGTTTTATTCCAGGGACTTGTTTAACTCAAGCAAGCAGTCATGTTCTGACTCTGGCGATTTTAAAAATTGATATATACACTCAGCTGAGATGTTGAGAGTTGAGTTACACATTGTATCATTGTTTGAAATGGGCATAGATTTCACAGTATTACATATTTCCAGTATTACACTGACACATTATACAAATATGTAACTATTTATATATTTTATAAATTATTTCAAAAATTCGGGGAGTTTTAATTTGATATACTTTTGTAACTTGAGAAGAAAAGACCTTTTCTCTGAATCAAGTTTTAGTTTTTTTTTTTTTTTTGGCTTCTTTGCTTTTCCCTACTAATTATTAAACTGGAAAAAAAAACTGTGCCTAGGTAAAATGAATAGTTTGGAGCTTACTTTATATGTTTTAGTTGCTGTGGAATTTCAACACATGTGTAATATGATTTTTCAATGGCAATATAAGACTTGAGTTTAAGTCCCAATTCGGCCTTTAGTATTTCTTTCCATCTGATAGCAGTCTCCTTTTTCTTACTAACAAGTTTCCTAAAGCAAAAGACAAACAACAAAAAAATTAGGGAAGTAAAGCTTAATGTTAGAAAGCAAAGGAAGGAATTACGTCAACAGAGTAGAGGGAAATCCATCACATTTAGCATTTCTTAGCTTTTCTCATGCACTTCTTAAACCCTCTTTATTTCGTGAGATCACCACCTGATAGTAAGTTTGGAGGTAGTCTTCTCCTCACTTCTTAGTATTCTTACAACCAGAATTGTGCTTCCATTGTTTTAACTACAAAATCACATCTTGCAGCAGTTATATTTCTGAATTTTCACCACACTAAAATTTTACATTATTTGAAGGCACAAAATGGATCACATTTGTATTTGTATATCCCAGCATGCTTCCTTAGTTAAAATTAAAACTCAATGAATATTTGTAAATCATATGAACCTGGAAGTCCAGAGGCTTAATTTTCTCTGTCGATATTCAACTCTTTCTCAGAGTGTCTGACTCAGTTTAGAATAGAGAATATTTAATGGTTCATTTTGTGAGGCAGATTTATGTACTTGTCAGCATTGCTTTGTAATAAGTAACCCCCAAAGCTTAGCTTGTTGCAATTATGGTCATTTCTTGCTCAATTCACATGACACCATCTGCAGTTCAACTATAACTGCTGCCCTTGCAGCTTTTGTAGGTAGTGCTTGGCACAGCTCCCAGTGAATTTTATCTCTGGAAAGAGGGCAGCCCTATTGTGAACATGCCAATTACCATAGCAAAAAGGAAGAAAGCAGGGCTGAGCTCAATCACAAAATGTAATTTCAAGTTTCTTCTTGAATGTGTCACTTTAGCTCATGTTCCATAAACAAAGCAAATTATGTGGCCAAGCCCAAAGTTAAAGAGGCAAAGATCTCACATGGCAATGAGTGTATTATATAATTCTATAACTGAAAAAAAAATGGAGTCAAAAATTGTCAAGAATGCAACAGAACACTTTTCACACTCCTGGAGACAAATATTCATTTTCCTCCTTTTCATATTCAAAATATATATTTTCCTCACCTCCCCCCAAAGAAGGCACCATCACATTCTTATGCCATCAGCTCATCAGGCTCAAAGTCAGAGGTCATGACCATCTACACAGAAGTTACAAATGTGGTTTATCTAAATATGGAGAAATATGGACTAAAAAGAGAAATTATTTTCCTCCACACACAGCCAATGCACATCAACAAGACAAAGGATAACCACAGTAAACATCTGCATTCAGAAAGGGAAAGAAAGGGAGGCAGACAGATGTCATTGGTTCATAACAATTCCAAAGCCAGATAGCCCTTGTTCTGAAGGAAGAGAACATTGCTTTGTTATGCTCAAATTCATTTCTGAGAGAAGTAACCCCATACAAATATTGTTGGGGATCTTCGTTTTTCCATCTGAAGTATATCGTTTCTCATTACCCTTCCTGTGACTGTCCCAAGAGGATGATGATAAACCTGTACTCCTAGAGGGCAGCAGAACTTCTGACTTTTTTTTTTCCAGTCTGTAAACATATGGGACATCAATTGATGGTTTACATGCCCAAAATCCCAACAACATCTAATCCAGCCTGGAATTAAATTTGTCAGTATAAAGTCTCAAAAAAATAACAATGATTTATTTCTATTATAGTCTCCCCTTATCCAAGGTTATGCTTTTCATGGTTGTAGGTTTCAGTAACCCCCAGGCAACCATTGTCTGAAAATATTAAATGAAAGATTGCAGGCAAACAACTCATAAGTTTAAAATTACACACTGTTCAGAGCAGAGTGGTGAATTCTCAAGTCATCCAGCTCCCTCCTGCCTGGGATGGGAATCCTTCCTGTGTTCAGCATATTCATGCTGTAGAAGCCACTCACCACCCCTTAGTCATTTAAGTAGCCTTCTTGGTTATCTGTTAACTGTTGCGCTATCACAATGCTTATGTTCCAGAAACCTGTATCTTACTTAATAATGACCCAAAGCGCAAGAGTAGTGATGTTGGCATATTGTTATAATTCTTCCGTATTATTGTGAGTTCTATTGTTATTTATTGTTGTTAGTCTTGTACTCTTCCTAACTTATACATTAAACTTTATCATAGGTATATTTTTATAGGAAAAAGCATTGTATATATAGGTTTTAGTACTATACAAGGTTTCAGGCATTCACTGGGGATCTTGGAAAGCATGTCCCATGAATAAGTGGGGGACTACTGTATATTCGTTATGTACAGGTCAAATTTTCTAAATTAGTTTGTTAATAATGTATCATTTAGATTTCTATGAAACAATTATGTTAGCTGTTTATAAATGTCAGCTTCATGCATTTCTTGCATTAATAGTCTATTTCTTTTTATTGCCTTCTTGCATTAGATAGGACTCTGGTCTGTGACAAGCAGAAATATTGATACTGGACACATATGACTTTTACCCCATTTTACAAGAAAAGCATTACATATTTTTCCAGTAACTTACGTTTTAGTTGTACAGTTTTTTGTTGTTGATGTGGTTTTTCAGATTAAAAATGTTCATGTCTATGCTTATTTTGCTGAGACTTAATTTTTATCATGCCCATTTGTTGAATTTTATCAAAAATGTTTCTGCACCTATTGAAAAAATAACTTGTTATTAAGTTGCATATTATATTGAATTACTAGTTGATGTTCAAGTATATTGCATTTTTCATTTATGTGATATTGTCACACATTGTATTATCTATACATGATGCAGTATAGTTTATGTATCATTGGATTTGAATGGCTAATAACTTGTTCAGGACTCCTTGGTTTATTCATGCAATTGTTTATTTAAACACTGTTCCGCAATTTTTCCTTTCTTACCTAGCTTTTTTTTTTTTGGTCAAATTTTATATGAAAATTATGCTGGCCTCCTAAAATGAGTTGGCAAATGTTCCTCTTTGTTAGTTCTTTCTGAGTTTATGCAATTTTAGTGATATTTCTACCATATTTATTTGTACAAATTTACTTGCAAACCATCTGAAATTGGAATTTGTTGTTTTTGGAAAGTGTTATTTAGAATTCAATTTCCTCATAATATTTTTTAGATCTTTCTTTCTTTTTTTCTTTTCTTTTCTTTCTTTCTTTTTCTTTTGACACCCAGTGACCTCTGAACTTTTCATTGGCCTCATGCACCCTGCTTCTCCTGGCTTAATATCTCGGAACTTTGGTGTTGTTGGTCTCAGACACAACTTTGCCATTCACTATCTGGCGGGTGGCGTTTTGTATGGTTTGCATGGAGTTGCTGCTGTCCAGGGAATCACCAAGATTGAAGTCCTCGCCATCTTCCAGCAGGTGGTGGTAGGTGGCGATCTCAGCCTCCAGCTTGACCCTGATGTTCAGCAGGGACTCGTACTCCTGCGCCTGGCGCTACCCCTCTGCCCAGGTCTGTGCCAGCTCTGACTCCAGGTGCAACAGGATCCCGTTGAGCTGTTCCATCTGCAGGGCGTAGCGGGCTTCCACCTCCCTCAGGCTGTTCTCCAAGCTGGCCTTCAGATTTCTCATCGAGTCCAGGTCTATCTACAAGGACTCGACTGTACATAGCAGCTCCGTGAGCGTCACCTCAGCAGGTCCAACCTCAGCGGACTGCGTGGTGACCACTGTGGTGCTCTCCTCAATCGGCCGAGACCAGTACTTGTCTAGCTCCTATCGGTTCTTCTGAGCCAGCTGGTCATATTGGGCCCGAATGTCTGCCATGATCTTGGCAAGGTCCTGGATTTGGGGGCATCTGCGTCCACAGTTAACCCAGAGCTGCAATCTGGGCTTGCCGGCCTTTCACTTGCTCTTCGTGGTTCTTCTTCATTAAGAGCAGCTCCTCCTTGAGAGCCTCGAACTGTGTCTCCAGCTGCATCCGAGTGACATTGGTGCCATCCATGACCTTGCAGAGCCCATGGATGTCGTTCTCCACAGACTGGCGCATGACCAGCTCTGTCTCGTACTTGACTCTAAAGTCATCAGCAGCAAGTCCTGCATTGTCCATCTGCAGAACGATGGGGACATTGTCTGCAGTATTTGCAAAGATCTGAGCCCTCAGGTCCTGAATGGTCTTGAAGTAATGGCTCTAGTCTCTGACCTGGGGTCCCTTCTTCTCCAGGTGCTCCTGGATTTTGCTCTCCAGCTTCCTCTTGTTGGTCTCCAGGCTCCTTACTCTGTCCAGGTAGGAGGCCAGGCCGTCGTTCAAGTCTTGCATGGTCTCCTTCTTGTTCTGGATGCCTCCCATTCCTGCCAGACCCCTGGCCATCCCCGCGGCCAGGTCCCCGGACCCCATGCCGCCCAGGAAGCTGGTGGAGCGGGACACGGAGATCCAGGAAGCAGAGCCCTTGCCTGCATAGACGCTGGCCACGCTGCTGGCAGCTGGGCGCCGTAGCTGGGCACCTAGACAGAGCCCAGGGACCCGTAGTTGGTGGAGAAGGTGGAACAAGTGGTGAAGCTCATGCTGTTTAGGGAGGAGAGCGAGAGGACAGGACTCAGGCTTTGTTGATGACCACATTTTCTATTATTTCTTGAGTTGGTTTTGGTAAGTTGTGTTTTTTTTCATGAATTTTGTCTACTTTACCCAAATTGTTATTACATAAGCTTGTTCATAGCATACTTTATTATCTTTTATTTTATTTCAGTTGGTTATATTTTCAATTTCTGTATAATAAATTTCACTCATTATAAATCCACAATGCAATGCATTTTTGACCAAAGGAATTTTAAATGAGGAATAAATAGTTTGGTAACATAAATAGTAACATAAAGAGTTTGGTAATGCACCTTTTTTAAGTCAATTCACTAGCCCTATCTACTGGCTCCAGGAAACCACTAATCTTCTTTATTTTGTGATGGTTTTGCCTTTTTGAGAATTTCAAATAAATGAAATGTGTAATCTTGTGTGTCTGGTTTCTTTCACTTTCAGAATACATTTGATACTCGTGCTCTTTTATATATCAATACTCTAAGTGATGTTTATCACTAAGTACCATTTCACTGAATGGAGATACCACAATTTGCTTAATCATTCATAATTTAGATATACTCACAATTTGTAATGAATATTTGGGTTGTTTACAGTTTGGATCATTATAAATAAAGCTCCTATGAATATTCTCGTAGAAGTTTTTCATAAATGTGTTTTCCTTATTCTTGGCTAAAAACCTATAAATTTAATTTCTGAGTTATACAGTAATCACGTCTTTAATTATGCGAGAAACTGACAAATTATTTGCACAAGTGGCTGTACCATTTTACATTCCCACTAGCAATAGCCAAGAGTTACAGATGCTCCACATCCTTGTCAACACTTGCCATTTTCTTTTTAGTACTAACCCACTTGAGAGGGCATGCACTGGCATCTCATGTGGTTTTAATATTCATTTCTCTAATGACTGACACTGAGCATTATGTCTATAATGTCATTTTGGGAACTTTTTAATGTCTATAGGATTTCAGGTCATGTTAAATTGTTTGCAAAATGGCAAAATAATTTTTCCCATCCTGCGTAACCACTTTTTGCCATATAAAGTTGAATTTTTTTTTTCCCATTGGAAGGTAGAGTTTCTTTACCCTTTGGATCTGGGCTTAAACATGTGACTTGCTTTGGGAAACTTGCCACTTAGAAATGAGGTATAAACAAATATTAAAATGCATTGATCCAGTGCACCAATAATCTTCATTTCGATTACTAAAGAATTCATTATTTTTCTGTCCTTAACTTATTGTTCTATCAGCAACATTTGACATTATTTCTCACCCATCTTTGAAGCACTTTCAGACTCTATACACATTACTTCTTAAACAGCAACCTTGCTTAATTTTCCTGCTATATTTTTGGATCTCCGTACTTCATTTCCTCATTGAAACAACCTCTTGAATTTAGAGTGCACCAGGATATGGTCCTTGGATTTATTTTCTTTTCTACTGATATTCAGGCCATTTGTGATCTTATTTAGTCTCACAGAACATAATGCATCTATCAGTTGATGAATACCAATATATACCTCCATCTCAGATCTCTATGTATGTGCTCTAGGTTCCTATCCATTGCTTACCCAATATATCCGTTTAGATGCCTCATGAATCTCTTAAAATTAATGTAAACAAACAAGTTTCTAACCATTTACCTCAAACAAAACCTTCTGAAGTCACATAGATCTCAATTACTCTTATCACAGTATTCTCGGAGTCATCTTTAATCCCTGTCTTCCTCATGAATTCCATGTCCAGTCTCTCAGCAAATTCTATCTATTGTAGCTTGAAAATATATACGGAATACAGCAAACTCTTAATTTCTCTATTGCCACGGCCCTGATACAATCTTCATCGTTCTTGTCTGGATTATTTCGTTGATCATCTAACTCATCCCCCTAATGCTATTCTAATCTTTATATGTCCATTTTCACCCCAGTAACAATAGTACCCTTTTAAACCACGGGGTATATTATGCTACTTTTCATTTTGTAAGACATAGACAATCTGGTCCCCCCTTACCTCTTTGAATGCATCTACTATTCATCCTCTTACTTTCTCAGGTACAGCTGTAGTGACCTTCTTCACATTGTTGCGACATTATTCTCTTCAAACTGACTCTTATTTTTGGCTGAAATTTCTACCATAGATTTCTATCACTCACTCCCTCATGTTGTTCAGGTTTTTATTCCATAACTTTTTCAGTGAGCTCTTCCCTAAATGGCAGAATAAATAATCAATGCCCCTTTGCAAATATTCTGTCTTCACAACACACAGTGTTTGTATTTACTCTGCAAAATATGATCCTTGTTACAGCAAGGATAAGTGTCATCATCCATTTGTTTACTTCTCTATCCAAAGTGTGTGTCAAAGTGATAGGCTATTGATAAACATTTGTTGAATAACTGAATGCATTAATAAATCTAGATTATAGCATCATAGTTATCGTTCTCACAAAAATAATAATATATTGGTTTCTCTTTGGCTTTATTTCAGACAAGGTGGATATCTGAAATGCAGAAACAAAAATGTTTTGTGAACCATTAAGTCTTTCAAATAATGGAGTGACTGAAATAATCTAACAAAACTTAGTTAAGCAATTTATTTTTCTAAAATTACAGAGGATAAGTGAGCAAAATAGGAGTGTTGAAAACATTCTACCAAAATGAGCATACGAAAAACCTAGGTTGCAAAATCTACCAATAATGCATTGAAGCTACTGTTGAAAACTAACAATTTAGAGTTGAAATATAAAATCACTAAGCATATCCTCTAAAGGTTGTTTAACCAAGTGAAGGTATGTACAATACCATGTACTAAGTTGCTATCATATATTTTCAAGTGAGGTTCAACTAGTATTACTTTGTCATAGCCAAATAGCTAAACTACAATAATAATTATTAGCTAAGGGATTACTCCAATATAACTTTTAAAAAGTTTTCTCACTATATTCATGGGTTATCCACTATTCCATATTATCTTGTAAGCCACACTATGTTCGTTATAACCCAAACCTACTGTGACTTGTTAACTGTTAAAAAGTAATTACTATATAATTCTTTGTATATGCTGGGGGGGGGGGTAAACGAATGATTAAAAAATTAATAAGAAATAGGCTATTTCAAAAAATGGAAATTTTTTTGTTATTAATTATTAATCAGTTCAGAAAATACAATTTTCCATGAAGAAAATATTAGCAAAAACTTCTAGCTGAATAGCAGAAAGAATTTGGAATTTAAGTTTGGAAGGTGTATCAAGGATATGTTCATAATGGGATACAGTTGCATATTCTTAATTGCTTATTTTGCATGCGTTTGATGAATATTGAATACTATTATCCATGTAACATAAATATTTAATTCCCTTCATAATTCTGAAATGGAATTCAGGGCACTTAAAAAATCCCATTAACTAGAGTAAAAAAATTGTGTATTAAAATTATTGTAAGACGGAGAACAAATCAAGAAAAGGATTTATAAAAATATGTGAAAATGCCTGACTTGCATGCAAATTACATGAAGGGAAAAGAAATGAATGCTTGCTGTGAACTTACCCTTTGGATCATTTTTAAGTTTAGCTCATTTATAAAAATAAACATTTTAGTACCCGATTTTTTTCCCAATTTACATTGCTTGTAGAAATATAGTTGGTGAATTGCATAAGATTCGGACTACTAAGAACTCAACAAGAACATAAATGCAGAGCCCCACCTTATTGTCTCCGAGTTTTACAGAAAGTATTTTAAACAAATGTCTTATGAACTACTCAATAAGATAAGGAAAATAAAGTACATGTATAACTACTGGAAAAATGATGACAGAGTGTATGGTATGCCTGATGTGTGTTTCTAATTGAAAGATAAAAGTTATTTAAAACACTGTAAATGCTCACAAACTGGCCAATTACCCAATCTTAAAAATCTCTGAATTTTCCTGTATACATATCCACACATTGAAAAAAAATCCTATGTAGTTAAACATAGACACATGAAAAATAAGAATAAATATATGAAAATATCCAAATAATTTTGATGGAATCATTTCATAAATATGTTCTATTTCTTACTAATAACAGCAATGTATTTTAAACAATTGGAGCATGGGTAACTACATAAAGAAAGCAATATTCTGGATATTTTGGCCTGACAAGTTTCTAAACCCTTTCTCCAGACTAAAAGCCATTCTCAAGACAAAGAAAAAACTGAAACTATGAAATTTAGATAGTTTTTACTGATATACCTCAAGTAAGAGATTGTTTACAATTTGGAGAAGATACCAAAACAACAACAACAGAAATAATTCTAAGCTGAGTCAAGAGATCAAAAATGTTTATTATTTTTTAGATTTTAATGTATTCTGGAGTTACTGAGTAGCTAGTAGTGGTGAGGAACCCATTAGATATTTCTAAAATTCAATATTTGACACAGAAAATACTAGAGATGTCATAATAAATTTATGTGATACAGGTAAACATTTGAAGGGAATTATGGAAAAAAATAAAATACTTGAAGGGCAAAGACCATAAAAATAATTCATAAAGTAGAACACCCAATAAACAAAACTAAACTCAAAAAGTCTTGGTGAGATGTAATAGAGAGAAATTTCACTGAATTGAGAGAAAAACTGTACCTTCATATTGAAAAGTCAAATCTTAACACAGGAAATTTTGACTCAGCATGAGAGATATGAAGACCTAGATAAGGGCTGTCCTGAAGCTTACTCAATTTGATGCAACTCCTTTTTTAAGAAAAGGAGTTAAAATTATGAATACAGAATTAGGTATAAAATTAAACATCAATTTCGAATAAGAAAAAATACAAATACAAAATACAAATCTAAAAGGGTTTGACTAATAACTCCAACATCACAAGAGACAAAAAAACAAAATAGTATTTTTGTTAAGTGCCTCATATACCACTATAATAATTTTCTCCCCTACATTTATTGATAGCATTTTTATTGTCTTTCATAAGATAATTATATTGCATTGCTTTCTTCCCCAAGGATTATTATGTAATATTCAGAAGTTAGAATACTGTGTTTCAGATTCCCAACATGCTGTTGTCAATATCATGTATTTTTTTAGGGCTTTTGTTAACTTGAGAGAGTCTTTTAATAAAGTTTGCAGCCCCTCTCCCCAACACTTGGATGAGTTTTCCAGTTTAGCTTCTGGCGCGATACTTTTCGAAATGTCTTTCTCATACTACATCATTCAATTGTAGGTGCTGTAGCATACACTCATATTGTACTGTGATCACTACATCTGCATCTGACTTTAGATAGCAGTTAATATAATAACATTTTATGGCTGATTTTATTTTTTTAATTTCTAGGAGGTAAAGTATATAGCATTTTTTCTTCCAATTTTCTACTTTTATATAACGCTTGGTATTTTATAATACTGATATGCAGTCACAAGTAAAATAAATAGTAATAAAATTAGAAAAAAAGTATTAAGCTTATCGGAAAAAGATAACTTTTATAAGTTCATTATTTATCCTAGAAGCTGTGAAAAAAAAAGACGTACAGATGAGAATTTATAAAAATGTAAGGTCCACATGTGGAGCAAAATAAAAAAATAGAATACAATTGACAGATTAAAAAAGATTTTACAATATATCATTGACAAAGATTAAACAGCTAGAATATATTTTAAAACTCAAGTGAATGAGAAAAATACAAACAACATAAGAACATAGGTAAAGGACAAGACTGAATAATTCTAAAAGAAGATACAAATTACCTATAAACAAGTGAAAAGGCAATAACAAAAAACATAAATACTGAAAGAATTAATAGAGCATATGTTTTCTAAAAAGTGGATAAATGGAAAAGATCAATTCAATTTAAACTCAAGAAGTTTGAGTAGCACAGAAAGTAATATAAACTTACTGACAGAAAAGTTGACAGTGTCATTAACATTTAAAACTTGTATATACTTAAAATTCAACAATAAGAACACAAACAAACTGATTAATAAATGGACACAAGACTTTAACAGACACCTCATTGAAGAAAATATAGAGATGGCAAGCAAGCACATCATAAAAATCAGGAAAATGCAAATTAAAAAGAGATACCACTACCCACCTATTAGAATGGTCACGATCTAAAACATTCATAGTACTACATATTGGTGAAGATATGGAACAAAAGAAACTTTCTTTCATTGCTGGTGAAAACGCAAAATTGTACAACCACTTTGGAAAAGTTTGTGGAGATTTCTTACAAAACCAAGTGTACTCTGACCATATGAATCAGCAATCATACTTCTCAATATTTACCAAAAAGAGTTGAAAACTTATATCCACACAATGACCTTCACATAGAAATTTACTGAATCTATTTTCTTTTTTTTTTTGCAATTGCCAATATTTAGAAGCAACTGAGATGTCCTTCAGTAGGTGAATGCATAAACAAACTATGGTTCATCCAGATAATGGAATATTATTCAGTGCTAAAAGGAAATGATCCAGCAAGCAATGAAAAGATATAAAGGAAAATTAAACACATTATTACTAAGTGAAAGAAGCTAGTCTGGGAAAAAAAAGTTATATACTATATAATTATAACTGTGTGACATCCTGGTAAATGTTAAACTATGGAGAAGTGAAAAGATCGAGGTTTCCAGGAGTTGAGGGGAAGGAGAGATGAATAGGAGGAGCACAGATGATTCTTAGGGCAGTGTAATTTCACAGTATAATACTATATTGGTGGATACATGATGTTATACATTTGTCCAAACCCATAGAATGTACATGACAAAGAAAATACCCTAATGTAAACTATGGACATTCAGTGATAATAATGCGTCAATATACGTTTATCAATTGTAACAAATGCACCACTCTGGTGAGGGATGTTGATAACTGGAGAGGCTATGCATGTGTGGGTGTAAGGGGTATGTGGGAAATCTCTGAACCTTCTGCTCAGCTTTGCTATGACCTTAAATCTGGTCTAAAAATAAAATCTATTTAAAAAACAAAAGCTAACAAACAGCAAAAGTATATATCTATTAGTCTTTCTCTCTCTCTCTCTCTCTCTCAAATGTAGACATTTAGCTAAGTAGTGTGGAGTGGTGGAGAGAGAGTGGGTTGGCATTCAGAGTGGGATTGTGCAGTACAATCTTGTTTATAAGGAAAAGGAATTGAAAAAAGTTATTTGACCCTCAATGCCACTCTGGAAAAGTGCCATATGACATGTCCAAGTAATAGAATTCTAAGTAGCCACTAAAAATTAGAGGTAGATCTACACAGAGCAGCATGGATAAATATGCCTAGTATTATTAAATAAAACAATAAGAGTAATGAAAAGGCCAGTTTCAAATGCATATGCACATGTACAGACATATATATACACATCTCCGTATATGAACACATATAATACAATTTATTTGCAAATAAGACATATGTCTTATTGTTTCTACATGCATTTAAGTATTTATCTGAGCCAGCAGAGAAGGCATCAGAAAGATTTTCCAACTGTCAACAGAGCTTAACTCTGGTGATGTCTGAGTGAGAGATAAAGAAGGTGAGCAAAGCTGGATTGGAGAAATTGAATATTTTTACTTTTCATTCATATTATTATATATCACTTAAGGAGAAAATATCATTGATAATGATAAATTAGAGTTGGCATTAATTCTCAATGTATTCATACTAATAAGGCACGTAGACATGTAAACATACAGTTTAAAAATAAAATCTTTTATACTACAAATAGTTTTAAATATCTATGACCTGCCAGGTTCCGCATACGTTTTTAGAGATATAGTGTTGAACAAGCCAATTACAACATGATCTGTGCAACAACAGAGGTATGCTCAAAGGCTGGTGGAATTCAGGGGAGGTTTCCCATGAGGGGGGTAATCACCAGAGAAGGTTTCCTCGAGAGCTGTGAGGTAAACAGTGACTGAAAGAGTGCTTGTTAAATACAAGAAGGATAGCTTTTTTTGAAAAAGGATGTTATAAGGAAAAGCATAACTATCTGTTACTGCATATTTGGGAAATCTCAAATAATTGAATACTACCTATGTGCAGATTATATATGGGGATTGCAGGAATTAAGAAAAAGTTAGCAAGAGCCCAATCATGAACAAACAGTATTTTAGGCCAGGGCATGCACTTTGGTACTTTTTTTGTTTTGCTCTGTTTTAATTACTTTCCCCACTTCAAAAAGAGAAATGAAGAGTTTTGTTTTAAAAAGATTGTTCTGAAAATAAAATGAAAAATGAAGAACAGGTGGAATAAAGGGCAGATTCTAAATTTAGAGAAAGAAGTAAAGACAAGACAAAATACTTTAGCCTATAGAAATTTGTGATTTCATAAACTAAGATAACAAAAATGGTAATGAGGAGGAAGGGAGACATTCAATAGTAACTGCTATGTTAGAACATAGTGATACACGTAGGTATGGGTATGGGGAAATGCATAAGAACTTTTCCTAAAAACTACAGTATAATAAACACAAAAACACATTCTAGATTAGATTCAGCTTTGCTTATTTATTTTGCTTTCCTTACAAGATGTCAGTTTAAAAATATAATTATTAAGGATTTAGAATAACCCAATCAACCACCAAATGATCTGATATATTGACACCTCTCTAATAGAATGGGGCCAGGGTTACTACTACTCATGTTGTCTTTTCGCTCGATAATGCAGAAGAGGAAAAAATAAAATGAACATCAGTAGTTTTGATCTCTGAAAAGCTAAAACCCAATTTTTTTTTTTCTTTTTGCTTGGGGATCTCATAGAACATATACAGGAAGGTAAATATAGCCCTATTGAAAATGAAGTTTCTTGCTCCAGGAATAGTATTTTTTAAGTGGGATTTCTCAACCAACTGAAAATTCAAGTGAGAGACAGTAGTCAATTTAGCAAAAAGTATATAATAGCAGACCTTAGAAAACATTCATGATTATTATACATTTGTATTAGATGTGTGAGTTTACAGTCATTCATATCCTTAGGTAAAGATTAAAAAATTTTCCTATACATTAAGCCAAAATCTGTTTGTCTTACAAATTTATTTCAGTATAATTTGATAGGGTTTTCTGTTTTTTTTTTCCTAAGGTATATCATTTAGGATGTAAGAAAAAGTAATACTGATGTTTTCACTGGTACTGAGTTACAGTTATTTTTTTTCTTTGAAAAAAGAAAAGTTTGGGACATGTGAGTCAATATATTGAGTACAATTGCTCATCAAAGAATCCCATTCTTGAAGATCACGTAGCAAATGAGCATAGCTTTTCAAGTTCTAATTACAGTAGATAAATAGGTAGGCAGATAGACAATTGATAGGTAGGTAATGGATAGAAATATATAGTCATATCTTAGGGAAATACATTTGGGCAATTGATCACAGCTAATTTAACCTTTAGCATATTTAATTTAAACCTTTAACGTAACATTTATTCCCGAAATTTTATTTGTACATGTATACACTTCTTGTGTCTGTGCTTTTGTTTTAAATTCACAGACAATTTTTTCCTTGAATGCTGGT
Organism: Homo sapiens; assembly: GCF_000001405.40. NCBI lineage: Eukaryota > Metazoa > Chordata > Mammalia > Primates > Hominidae > Homo > Homo sapiens. The sequence continues at coordinate 30,810,267 of NC_000009.12, forward strand.
GTAAAACGATAGAAACACGACACATGAGAGCAAAGCTGCTAGCAAGCCACACCGGGGCAAATTATCACCCTTTATATTCCATCCCAGTAAAAACTTGGTTTCAATATTCCTGATTTAAAGGTTTTTAAAGTTGAAAGAAATATTTTTAATTATAGTTAAAGAGAAAAATCTGCATCGGTTACTAGGTAGAGATTTTGTCATTGTCATTTGACAATCAATTAAATTGTTTGTCTTCTGTATACAGTATAGTCTAAAGGCCACCAGGTGAAGCAGTGCTCTTAACAGGAACCTCTCCATTTTTTAACTACATGTGACAGAATTGTTGGCTAATATATCTATAATTCAACAGAGTCAAAATCCATCTACCACAGTCTAAACTAACTAAACCAGGGTGAGAATTATTTATATCATAAGGGATTTCTTACTTCTGAAGGAAATTCATCTCAAGACAACTCCAAATATTGAACAGAATTTGATAAGGCTAAAATAAGACTCAATTTGCCATATTTGTTCGTAATATCTTCAGAAACATGGTTTTATGCCAGGTGCAGTGGCTTATGCCTGTAATCCTAGGGCTTTGGGAGGCCAAGGAAGGAGGATTGCTTGAGGCTAGGCGTGCCAGACCAGCCTGGGCAACACAGCAAGACCTCATCTCTACAAAAAGTAGTTGGGTGTGGTGGTGCACAGCTATAGGCCTAGTTACTTGAGAGACTCAGGCAGGAGGATCACTTGAGCCCAGGAGTTCAAGATTACAGTATGCTATGATCATGCCACTGCACTTTAGCCTGGATAAGAGTGAGATCCTGTCTCAAAAACAAAACAAAACAAGAAAGCATGGTTTTATAAATTTTAAAACAATTGTAATTAAACAATTTTTAAAAAGATTTAAAAGTCACCAGCATCCTTCAAGGAGCATATATTAGATTTTTTAAAAAGTAAGTACCTAAATATCTAAAGTCTATTTTTCTAAGTTTAGTTCCTAGACATATACAACAAAGTTTGCAAGTATTAGTATTTAAATTTAAGAATAAAATGCACTTATTTTAATAGAATTCAAACTGAAAAAAGGAAAGAAACTCAAATTGTTTTAGCTACTTAAATCATTTCTATCAGGCTATGTCCCTGAAGGAGGATAATTCAATTTAAAAAGATCAGAGTATTGACTGAGACAAAGATCCCTTGGTACTTAACAGATAAATGAAACAGATTAAAATGAAACCTCCTGAATGTGATAAAACTGAATGTGGATATTTATATTTAGGGCTCTTTGTCTTAGGATAGTTAATTATTTAGAATAAAATAGTATATAAGAGACTAACTTTCACTGGGTGTATTAAGAAATAACATAGTCATTGCTAGAATAAAAAAGATTAATTGTTAGATCATTGTCATTGCTGACTACTTAATCTGAATATAGGTCTTTTCAAAGTTACACAAGAATGTAAGCTTCTTTCTCAATGTGACTTCAGTGACATCTTCAGATATTATTATTAGAAAAGGAAGAAGTTATTGTTAATAATTTGGACCCTGGATTCAAGGGCTCTGGATATATTCTTGTCAGCAAAATGATCCTGTGTAAGTTATGTATGACCCCTTAACATTAACTTCTTCCTCTACTACAGGGGTCCCCAGACCCCAGGCCAGGGACCCGTACCAGTCCATAGCCTCTTAGGAACTGGGTTTCACAGCAGGAGTTGAGCGTCAGGTAAGCCAACAAAGCTCCATCTGTATTTACAGCCACTACCCATCACTCACATTACCACCTGAGTTCCACCTCCTATCAGATCAGCAGAGGCATCAGCTTGTCAAAGGAGCATGAACCCTATTGTGAATTGCACATGAAAAGAATCTAGGTTGCAGTCTCTTTATGAGACTCTAATGCTGATGATCTGTCACTATCTCCCATTACCCCCAGATGGGACTGTCCAGTTGCAGGAAAACAAGCTCAGGGATCCCACTGATTCTACATTATGGTGAGTTGTATAGTTATTTTATTATATATTATAATGTAATAATAGTAACAAAGTGTACAATAAATGTAATGTTCTTGAATCATCCCCAAACCATCCCCCCACCACCAACCTGGTCCTTGGAAAAATTGTCTTCCATGAAACAGGTCCGTGGTGCCAAAAAAGTTGAGAACTGTTGCTCTATAAAATGGTGGTAATGAGTGCCTCTCTCAGAATGGAGCAAATATTTAATAATATAATGCATCTCAAACATTAACTGAAGTGATTGGCATAAAGTAAATACTAAAATAATAAAAAATGATAGCTCTTGTTTTCTTGTTTTTGTTACTGTATTGTTTTTATAGTTCCCCTTCAAGCATAAACTATGTCAAAAATTTCCAACTGTACCATTAATTAAAGTCCTTGTTTTTGTTACAGTGAATAAAGGTTAACACGTAATCTGTTAGGGTAAACAGATTATCTGATTAACAATTCATATTAAAACAGCACCATTATACATATGCAACAGTCTTGCAAATGCTCAATTTGTCTACCTTCTTCAGTCATGGTCTTATTATTGCCCTGGGTTCTTATCATCTCCCAGGAGAGAAACCAAGAGAGATCATCAGACACAGCAGCACAGAGACCAGAGGAAGATTTGTCTCAGCTTTTGCATGAGGAAGTCAGCACCACGAAAGAAAAAAGATAGGTTATTCCCCAAGGGTAGTATGTAGGTTAGTTGTATATGGCCTCCCTATAGGGAAGGGTTTCATCAAGGCATATATAGGAGGGGTTTTCCTAGCTCTTGAGTAGTCACTTCACATGCTTTCTCATACACTGCATATAACATTAGCATTTTAAGTCTCCACCCCTGGGCATAACTTTTAGCATGGTAAACCAAAAATAAAATTTTAAGGCTCCCCAACCATCTGAATGGACCCTTCTTCTCAGCCCAGGGCATTCCAAAGTTAACTGGACAAAATTAGTTCAGGCCATGATGGTAGCGGGGTGGTCAACTATGTCTCATTATACTCTCCTCCTTTTTGGAATTCAGGAAAAGCTGACCAGCCTTAACATTAACACTGACCTTAAGTCTGATAAGAAACATTTACATATTCTCTCTGCAGCCTGCTACTTGGAGGCTTCAGCTGCATGATAATCCCTTGGCTTCCACAACCCCTTATTAGAACCTAGACATCCCTTTATATTGATAATAACTCTTCCAATGAACTGCTAATCAGAAAACTTTTAAATCTACCTATGACTGCTGCTTTGAGTTGTCTTCCCCTTCCAGATTGAACCAATGTAAATCTTACATGTATTGATTGTTGTATTATGTCTCCTTAAAATGTGTAAAAGCAAGCTATACCCTGACCACCTTGGGCACATATCATCAGGACCGCCTGAGGTTGTATCATGGGCACGTCCTGAATCTTGTCAAAATAAACTTTGTAAATTAATTGAAGCTTGACTCAGATCCTTTTGGGTTCACACCACTAAAATGAGGGAGGGATAATTATGAGTTGAAGATAAGTCTAAGTGTGCATGAGGTGTACTGGGTAACTTCCTAGCCCTCTAAAGCAGAAATTTGTGATTAAGAGCTTCTTGGGTCTTTTGTTGGTGATTGGCTGGAAGTTAGGTTAGCTACAGCTTGAGTAAGGAGCTTTTGTTCTTTTTCTCTAAATTACATCAAAACAGTAAACCAACCAGCCTGCCTGTCTCAATGGGAATCAATCATTCATTCCTTCAACAAACATTCTAATGTCTCTTCTTTCGCAGAACTTATAGTACAATTTTAACACTAGCAGCCCCTCAATTACTTTTATTTGCCTTTGAATTCAAGGCAAACTGCCAACCACCAAGTGCACAGAGTGGAAAGGAAGACATGAGTTAGGAGGTGCACAAGTGATGAAACGACTTGAATATTAGGCAGACTAGCTAGGAATTGTTGATGGAAAGATCTAGGAGTTCAAATCTGGTGACTTCTATGTTTTAGGTTAAGATTGACTGAAAATAAAGGTAGATGTGATAGGTAGATGTGAGAAAAAGATGCAAAACAATCTTTTTTGAAGTTAGGAGAGTAAAAATCCTATTAGTAGAATAGGCAGACAGTTTTGCTAGGCCTTTTGAAGTCATGCATATTTGTGGCTCTGACCCCAAACATTAATTTTTGGAGTTGTGGGATTTTCAGCATCAATACTCAGCTATATGGATAAAGAAACTGAGAAAATAGATAGCAAGCTTGTGAAATGATGAAAATAGAAGAAGAGGAGCAAGAGAGCTAAGAGGTTTTGGAAGACAGTTCTTATAATGATGGGCTACTGACTATAGGCTGGAGAAAGGAAAATAGTGCAAGAGGAAATTTACTTTTCACAGAATGGGGATTAATGGGATTGATGACTAACCTAATTGTTGCTAGGATACATTGTGGTGTATACTGCTAGAATTGATAAATTTAGAAATAATACATTTTATGGTCATCCAGAAAAAAAAAAAATAGTATACACGTCAATTCATGTTAAGTTGCCATTTAAATTAGGCCATGTGTGAGTGCTTGAATGAAATCAGTGATTTAACGTATAGATTTGAGTGTTTAGTGGTGCTGCATCAGAAATTAACCATTATTTCATAATTTTTTCTGGTGGGGAAATTTCCATTAAAAAAAGAATACTAACAAAATCTCTAAACCTGGTACTGTGCTACTTAATGTATTATATTTATTCACCATAAATTTGAAACTATCACAAAATGTATCTTTATAACTATACAAAGGTTCAATATATTGAAATGAATGAAACGTCTGGCTAGCTTTCATGGAAATAATCTCTCTATTTGAAGGAGTCACATGATAAAAATCAAGTTGAATACATCCTGATAACTCAGTGTGATTCCTATACATGCTGGATTTTAAAATTATATAAAGAATTTCACATTATGTATTTGTCAAATACAAGAGAAAGCAAATATGTATGAAACCAAAGCTTATCAGAAAACTCCTACTCTCAAGGCAAAACATCTAAAACTATGGAGAGAAAATATTAAAATAGTGAAAGAATAGAAAGTCACGTAGGGGATGCTGAAGAAATAATATAGGTAGTCTTTACAATAAAACTAAGTGAAAGAGTTTATATAATTTTCACAAAATTACATATAAGAAAAATAACTAATTGATGTTCTGTTTTACTAACATAAGAAAAATCTTGCTCTGTCATGGCAAAATACAGCCTGCAATATAACACCACTTCAGTTCTAAAACATAAATTTGTGTTGTCTTCAAAAGTGAAATGTTTTGGCAAAGAGTTGAACGAAGAGAGAAAAGAAAGTCTCTGGAGACAAGAGAATAGATAAAATAAACTTGATAACTCAGTGAAAGCTTTTGCTTTAGTGTTAATTTGTACTACCATGAGGTTATTGACAAGGGCCCAAACTTTACTTTTTATATTTATAGGAGTTACGTTATGTTGGACGTTTACTTGAGAAAGGCCAAATGGCACTCTCATCCATTCTCTCAGATTGCTAGTGTAAGAAAAAGCACTTTGGCTAGATAAGGCTGGCTAAACAGTAAATTCCTGGAGTTCTTCCTGGAATTCTTCCATCACATGACCTGTCTTCTTATTCAGTGCTGCCAAATGACAAAAGCTTCACCCAGGGTGAGAAAATATTTAATTTGAATAAAAGCTCCCAAAAGTCTATAATCAACTCCACCCCAGTGAAATATTACCTGATTTTTCTTTTGTATTAAGGAAAATACATTGCAAGATCATCAGGAAAGATTTTTTTTAGTCCTAGAGAGGCAGGCAACAAATGAAACAATAACAGTAACAAACCAATATCTCAAGGAAATGTTCCCATAGATGCATTCACACCTATCAAAGTAACACATCCCTTCCCTCAGCCAAGCAATCAGGCTGCACATGTGGGTGGCGGATGAAAACTTCAGGAGGGAATTTTGTCATTAAGAAAAAGCATAAAATATCTGAGAATATGGGCTCCTGTAAAGATATCATCTGGCTACTTACTGTGGAGATTAAGATCACCCATCCCAATCCCAGTGTAAAGCAGTAAACACATCTTCTGGAACAACTGGACAGATAAAGAAACGGCTATTTCTTGGATGCTGTATGCAAGCCCCTTCAGTCATAGATTCATTTAAGTGGATTGTTTCCTAGGCAGTAGTACATATGTATGCCTCTGAAATGTTTCTGGTAGGAAAATGAGTCAGGGTTTGTGTAGAACTGGTGTTCCTTGTCTACCCAGCAGTGGACGTACTCAGTGCTGTGTCTAAAAACTCTTTCAAATCCACTGTTATTTGACTTTACATTTTTCAATTTTTATCACTAGGTAAAATTCAGCATACATTACATAATGTGCATTTGCCTAGATCATTCTTTCCTTAGGTATACATATTTATAAAGGTGGATATTTCCAGGTGGTAATATAATTTGTTTTTTAAGTGCAGGGACATCAATCTGGCTTTGGTAAGAAAATAGCTTTGGTGAGCATATTTACATATCTGCCAAGCTTTCCCCTTGATTCAGCTTTTCTCTATTTATGTGACTTTTTACAGGAACAGTATTTGCTTTGCATGACTTGATTTTTTATTTGAGCTATGAATTTATAACCGTGTAATTTAATTCTTTGGACTCTTAAGAAAGAAATTTCAAAATAAAGCCTAACCCTTACTCTGACAGACCTCTTAGCTCAATTATTTATTCATCTCTGAATTGATGCTACAATTAAGAAGGTGCTTACAGCTTGCATAAATGACATGCTCTCGTTTTATTTCAGAAAAATATAAAATTAAAGCTACTGTTTGAAAAAATAATTGAAAATATTACACATTAACCTTGGATCCCCTGGAATCAACCCATTAAACATCCCTCCTTGCACCTAGTTAGCCCTCATTATAACTAATTTCATAGAGAGGAGGATGGTTCCATCTGAACTGAAAACAACTTTATTGAAAGAAAAGTCTACGGGAGGAGCCCACCAAAAAAGAGAATTTACTATTCTGGGTGCTTTTAGTAGAAGACAGGGGAAAAGACAGTTTCAAGCTGGGTCTTATGTTGCAGACTGAAAAGAGGAAATACAATGGTAAGGAAGAAACTTCTTCCTTCAGAAGTGAGAATGGAAGATGTTTTCATGGTGGAAAAACTATGTCAAAATTTGAGTACTTTCTCTGCATGTCTCTCTTCAGTTTTTCCATTCTGACTTTGGTTCCAAATTTATTTTTTTCCTATAATTAGTCTTGGTATTTCCAATAAATTATTTATTATTGAGTTTCTGAAAAGGCAGTTTATCATCAGTTCATTATCAACCCATCTTTTCCTAGCAGCTGGCAGTAGAACGGAATAGGGTTAATTTTGTGTCTACTGGTTAGGACTGAAAAAAAAAAAAAGAACTAATAAGCACCGGATTGATTGATTGATTGGTTACATGTATTTCTTACATCTGGACTATAGGAAGGGTGCTAGTGTAGGTAGTGGCAATTCAGTATATTAAAATAAGACAGGAAAAAATCGTTTAGATATGCTCCTTACTCCTTCTGTTATGTTCCCAAAATAATTACAACTTCAATATAAGAGGCACTATATACAATTAAATACTGTTAATATAGAAAGAATTAGTAACATATTATGGATTCCTGTGCTCGTTTTCTTTACAGAATTGAGAGGTTCTTGAAGGCAGAGTTAATATCTTACTTACTTTGAACTCCCATCCTTAAGCTTACTGGTTGGTACATAGTAAATCTTTAATTAATATATATTAAGAGAATGAGTGAGCAAGCAAATGAAGAGTGTGTGGCACAGAGATTTCAACTGAGGATATGATATCATGTATTCAAAAATATTTAAGCATTCCTATTTAATTAAAATTATTTTATTTGTATTTTTTCATATTAATACCCAAAGAAGATCACTAACCAAACTGAGATGAACATTTGTACTCCCATAGCCTTCCCTAGTTAATGCCCTCCTCACATAGCAAACCCTTTTCATATTAGTGTCAATCTGAATTAATTTGTATACTTCTCAAACTACACCACAGTTTATTCTGCCATTGAAAAACATTTAGATTTGTTTTTATCCAATAGAATAAAAATGTTAAGTGGGAATTGAACAATGAGAACACATGGACACAGGGAGGGGAACATCACACACCAGGGCCTGTTGTGGGGTGGGGGGCAAAGGGAGGGAGAGGATTAGGACAAACACCTAGTGCATGTGGGGCTTAAAACCTAGATGATGGGTTGATAGGCGCAGCAAACCACCGTGGCACATGTATTCCTGTGTAACAAACATGCACGTTCTATACATGTATCTCAGAACTTAAAGTAAAATTTTAAAAAAATTGTATAAGATGTTTTATGCACATAGGCATTATTCTTCTTTGATACAAACTTAGGAGAAGAAATGCAGGGGTATAGGTAGGTATATGTTAAAACATGAAAGAAATTGACATCACATTTTTAAAGTGGTTTTATCAATTACATTCAAACCAGAAATGTGTAAAAGCTACTGTTGCCAAACATTTTCTCCAACACTGTGTATTTTCAGTCTTTTAAAACGTAACCATCTGGTAGGTGTGTAATAGTATTGCATTGTGGTTTTAATTTGCATTCTCCTGATAACTAATAATACTGTGTACATTTTCATATGTTATTTGGTCTCTAGAATATATCATTTTATAAAATATCTATTTGAGTAATTTGATCTGTTTTTCAATATTTTATTGAAATGTATTCAAAGACAAAAATTGAAAATATATTGCAGTGTACACTCATGCCCATAACTGAAACTCTAATTTTACTTGCTCTATCACATATATAGTCATCTAGTCATCACTGTCCATTAATTTCACTTGTACTGGAGACAATATTAAATAAATAGAAAACATCAGTACAGTATCCAAAATAAATATTATTAACATGTTTTTTTTTCTTTTTAACTATCCAGCTTAAGATACACTCTGCTTTGTGGGCTTGTGTATAGATGTTCTTTCGTCAGTTTTGAAAAAAACAAATTCTGACATTTTCTATCTATATGTATATTTTTCTCCCTCTTTGTCCACCTATTATTCTGAAAATCCAAATACACAAAGTTTATTCTGTTAGCTATTATTCCACATAACACTATTTTATTTTATTTTCTGTATTTAGTCTATGATCATTTTGAATAATTTCTATTAGATTATTTTCAAGTTACCAATCCTTTCTTCCACTACATCCAGCTTGCTCTATTTCAGACTTCCTTGTGTTCAATACTTTTTAATGGCTTTGTAGGGGAAAAAAATCTATCTATCTATCTATCTATCTATCTATCTATCTATCTATCTATCTATCTATCTATCATTTATCTATCTATCTAGCTATGTATCTATCTTCTATCTATCAATCATCTATCTACTTATCTATCCATTAGTTAGTGCACATAAAACATGCAGAATATCTATTAGAAATATATTTTCTCTTGGCACTTTCCAGTCAAAATTTCAACACAGGCTACAATTGTTTTGATTCTTTCTACAAAAGGTTAGTTTTGCCTACTATAATCAATTCTGTAAGTGAAGCTATAAATTACACTCATTTATGTGAGGCTACATTCACAAAACATGTTTGTGACACTCATCTTTTTGTTTTTATTGATCATTTTATTTTGTAATACTTTATTTTATGAATATACCACAGGTTTGGGAGCATTTGTTTGTTTTGTTTTTAATATATTTCCCTATTGATGGATATGTAGTTGTTTCTGATTTGAGGCTGTCATGAATAAACCTCCTATGAACAAATCAGATATATATGTCTTTCTGTAGATAATATTTTCACTTCTCTTGAGTAAGTACATAAGATTGTATTTTCTGGATTATTAAATAGGTATGTATTTGGTGATATGGTTTGGCTGTGTTCCCACCCAAATCTCAATTTGAATTGTATTTCCCAGAATTCCCATGTGTTGTGGGAATAAGTCTCAAGAGATCTGATGGGTTTATCAAGGGGTTCCGCTTTTGTTTCCTCTTCATTTTTCTCTTGCCGCCACCATGTAAGAAGTGCCTTTCACCTCCTGCCATGATTCTGAGGCCTCCCCAGTCATGTGGAACTGTAAGTCCAATTAAACCTCTTTTTCTTCCCAGTCTTGGGTATGTCTTTATCAACAGCCTGAAAATGGACGAATACAGTAAATTGATACCAGTACAGCAGCATGTTGCTGAAAAGATACCTGAAAATGTGGAATTGACTTTGGAACTCGGTAACAGGCAGAGGTTGGAACAATTTGGAAGGCTCAGAAGAACACAAGAAAATGTGGGAAAATTTGGAACTTCCTAGAGACTTGTTGAATGGCTTTGTCCAAAATGAAGATAGTGATATGAACAATGAGGTCCAGGCTGAGGTGGTCTCAAATGGAAATGAGGAAGTTTTTGGGAACTGGGGTAAAGGTGACTGTTGTTATGTTTTAGCAAAGAGACTAATGGCATTTTGTTTTGCCCCTGCCCTAAAGATTTGTGGAACTTTGAACTTGAGAGAGATGATTTAGGGTATCTGGCAGAAAAAAAATTCTAAGCAGCAAAGCATTCAAAAAGTGACTGGGGTGTTATTAAAAGCATTCCATTTTAAAAGGGAAACAGCATAAAAGTTCAGAAAATTTGGAGGCTGACAATGCAGTAGAAAAGAAAAACCCATTTTTTGAGGAGAAATTCAAGCCTGCTGCAGAAATTTGCATAACTAGCAAAAGGCCTAATGTTAATCACCAAGATCATGGGAAAAATGTCTCCAGGCCATGTTGGAGAACTTCCTGGCAGACCCTCCCATCACAGGCCCAGAGGCCCAGGAAGAAAAAGTGGTTTCATGGGCTGGGTCCAGGGTCCCTGTGCTGTGTGCAGCCTAGGGACTTGGTGCCCTATGTCTCTGCTGCTCCAGCTATGGCTGAAAGGGGCCAATGTACAGCTTGGTCTGTGGCTTCAGAGGATGGAAGCCCTAAGCCTGGACAGCTTCCACGTGGTGTTGAGCCTTACAGGTGCACAGAAGTCAAGAACTGAGGTTTGGGAACCTCCACCTAGATTTCAGCAGATGTATAGAAATGACTGGTTACCCAGTCAAAAGTTTGCTGCAGGGATGGGGCTGTCATGGAGAACCTCTGCTAGGGCAGTACAGAAGGGAAATGTGGGGTCAGAACCCCCACACAGAGTTCCTACTAGGGCACTGCTCAGAGGAGCTGTGAGAAGAGGGTCATCGTCTTCCAGACCCCACAATGGTAGATCCACTGACAGCTTGCACTGTATGCCTGGAAAAGCCGCAGACACTCAATGCTAGCCCATGAAAGCAGCCAGGAGGGAGGCTGTACCCTGCAGAGCCACAGGATTGGACCTGCCCAAGACCATGGGAACCCACCTCTTGCATCAGCGTGACCTGGATGTGAGACCTGGAGTAAAAGAAGATCATTTTGGAGCTTTAAAATTTGACTGCCCTGCTGGAAATTTCTCCCATTTGGAATGGCTATATTTACCCAATACCCATACCCCCATTGTATCTTGGAAGTAACTAGCTTGTTTTTGATTTTACAGGCTCATAGGTGGGAGGGAGTTGCCTTGCCTCAGATGAAAGTTTGGACTGTGGGCTTTTGGGTTAATGCTGAAATAAGTTAACACTTTGGGGGACTGTTGGGAGGGCATGATTGGTATTGAAATGTGAGGACATGAGATCTGGAGGAGCCAGGGCACAATTATATGATTTGGCTGTGTCCACACCCAAATCTCGACTTGAATTGTATCTCCTTAAATTCCAATGTGTTGTGTGAAGGACCCTGTGGAAGTAATTGAATCTTGGGAGCCAGTCTTTCCTGTGCTATGCTCATGATAATGAATTAGCCTAATGAGATCTGATGGGTTTATCAGGGGTTTCCACTTTTGTGTCTTCCTCAGTTTTCTCTTGCCACCACCATGTAAGAAGTGCCTTTCGCCTCCTGCCATGATTCTTAGGCCTCCCCACCCATGTGGAACTGCAAGTCCAGTTAAATCTCTTTTTCTTCCCAGTCTTGGGTACGTCTTTATCAGCAGCCTGAAAACAGACTAATACATTTGTTAGTTGTTTGAAATTGGGAGATATTTTCCCAAGTGGTTGTGCCATCTTAAACAACAATGAAAATGTTTGAATCAGTTTTTCCACTTTCTAATCAATATTGGAAGCTGTCAATGTTTCTAATGCTGTCAATTCTTATGGGAGTATAACTACTGATTAGATATCTGCCTTCTTCCTTGACGTAGAAAATTGAGGCCCTAGAGAACAGTTTTCATTTCCATATTTAACACCTTCAATTTTTTGTTTCATAGAAGGATGATTTACTTAGGAAAACTCCCTTTCAATTTTCTAGGTTGTCTCTGAATTTTATTGGGGTTTACCTCCATGTGCCAAAGACCAGATCTAAAATTTTTCATAAGACAGGCTTCTTTATACTTTTGTTATACAAGGCCAGTGAAGGACAACATTCTTGAGATTTTTACAAGTACCATTGTTTGTAATGGTCTAATAATCACAGCTTTAAAACCTTCTAAGACACTGAAATGTTTTTATAATCAGACTCTTAATACAATTCATCTTTAGGCTGATTTTACCTTAAGAATCTCAAGCTTCCAGGGGACACTGAATTTCTGAAAAGAATTATATTTCTACTCAATCTGTCCTACACACTTCATATTTATTCTAAATTCATCTTGCAAGCTAAACAATTCCTTCTTTAGTTCATTTCACACTTTTTTAAAAGTCTTATGCAGCTAAAAAATTAAATTGACACTTTCCATGTTGTGCTAGAAAGCTTATTAGTCAGAACCACAAGTTCATTTTCTATTTTTCGAGTTAACTCAGTAGACAGTTTTGCAACTTTTGTACCACTACGACTAGAAGTTGCTGTTTCTCGAGCCTCCCACAGCAATCCCACTGTTATCCCAACTCCACCAAAAGTTTTCTTACTGCCCTTTCAGCCTTTTGCCTGCTGTCTCCTCCCTGGACAAATGCCACATATTATAGTTTTTTGTTTTTGTTTTTGTTACAGCAACACCCCACCCTTGATAACTATGTCTGTTTCAGTTAGTTGTTTGCTCATAACATACTACTCTAGAAATTACTGGCATAAAACAATAATTCATTTTTTCTTACACTTCTTTACATTATCACATATAATCACTCATATAGCAGTAGTTATCTGACATTTCTAAGAAAGCTGGTAAATCCAAGAAAGGTACACTTAAATGAAGAAAAGTTTGGGGTGGGGTATATAACAAAAAAATTCTCATTTTTCATTATAATTTTGCTATGGTCGACACATTAGCTCTCTTTAAGTGGTAAGCATTGATGGCTATACAGTCTAAGCTAGCATGTCTTTTCCTCTTATGAACCCAGGAAACAGCTGTGTGAGAAATGTTATTCTTCTTGACATCTTAATACACTTTTCACAGTTTCTATTTATATTTAAACATACTTAATATGATGGTTTAACTGCCTTAAAATAGGTAATGTCTCAGTTGTTTCTTACCATGGATCAGAAAGACTGTACTATAAGTTCTGAGCTCGGAAACAAGCCCTAGTAAGTGCTAATGAGGTGAAAGATAGTTTAAAAAATTTCCCCTTTTCCCAGCAACATCAGTTTTGGCTACTAACTTAACCTTAACTGTTTTTTACTAGTATTCATCCAGTTATTCAGGCAGATGAACTTGAAAACATACTCTACATCTAAACAGACATTAAGTAGTATGGATTCTATACTCCCTGGAATTTATTTTGTACAATCACTCAAGCTGGAGTGATTTCCAAAGGAAAGAGCATTACAGTCTGGAAAGACAAGGCTGACAACTATCATTGCTGTGAAGATTCTGTTCTTACTCTGCCCACGATAGTTGGCAACAAGGTTCTACAAAAGTAAGTAAATAAATTATAAATAAATAAATAAATAACTCCTTGGGAGGAGGAATACATTGATAAGCCCTTCCAAACTCTACCCACATGCTTCCCAGTGATTTATAGGCCTGGGATCTGCATATGTGTGTGGAGGAGAGGATGGTAAAGAGTTTAAACAACTTGAAACAATTTGACATCAATATTCTGTCAAGTCTCCCGAGATTGCAAAATACACAATTATAAGTAAAACTCTCAAAAAAAGTTTTACATTCATGCAGGGACAAGTATATATTTGCATAGATTTGCCTCAAGGATTTCTAAGTTTACAACAGAAAGATATTTAAGATGTTATAGAGAGAAGAAGAGATATAAGATATAGATATAGATGTAGATATAGGATACATATTTAGAGAGAGGGAAAGAGAGAAAGACAGAGACAGAGAGAGATGGGAACAGACAGAGGCACAGAGAGAAAGAGAATAAAAAGTATTATAATCGTGGGGCCCAATCCAAGTAACAGGCCATATTAGTAGTCTAAGGATAGTCTCCTGATTATAACACAATGCCCTAAATCCTCAAAATAAATAGCAGAGAACTTATAAACTTTAAGAAAATAAATTGAGATTTTAACGCAGTTTGTTCTCTAATCTTCATTGCATTGTAGAAGCATTCTGAAATAAGTTGCTTTAAATGACACAAATTTGTTTCACCTGAAGAAGACTTTCACTTTACAGACACAAGAAAACTCACACTCTCACAGATATCTTCCATACATTCAGTAGGCGTTCTATTTTTGGGGAAAATTGTTTTAACTTTGTCCACAGTTAAAATAAAACTAGTTCACAATAAGTTATCTAAAATATGCAAGAATGATTTTCTATTTGCTTTTAATCACATTTTAATGCACTGACAATAGCAGGAATGCCTTATCTTGTTCAAGACTTAACCAATTAATACAATTTACAATTCTACTTTTTAGTGTTGTAATATATATTTTAAGAGACTTTGGCTTCCTTTAGTCACCTTGGAAAATAGTACAATGAATTATTTGGAATTGTATTTTTGTGAGGAACTCTTTACCTCTGAGCCTTTGGATGATTTAGTAATCATAATGGCAATGTGACTAATTTATAGCTGGTCTTCCTACTAATTAATTTTATTACCCCCCTTTGCTACACAAAAAAAGAAACAAAGTATACTTGCCAAAACTTAGACCATACTATACATACTAATTTATATTTATAATGATAAGTAAAGAATGAAAGTATTTTACACGGGTAATTCACCAGGTGGCTAAGATGAGAGAAACTAAGGTAACTGTCTATTACAGTGGGAACTCATCACTACTGTAAGGAAAAATGCAATTTGTTTTTAGTCTGCTCTCACACTACAACAATCAGCACAGAAGCCTTCTGTTATCAAATGTCCAGTTTCTTCCTGTACCCCAAACAAGCAATCAGTTCTGCAGTGGACATCAGCTAAGTGTTCTGAATCCAGTTTAATTCTCACACTATCTACCTGGAGATAGTGTCAGATCTCACAGGTGAAGGGCTTAGTGCCACAAGACTGCTCTCCACTTCTCAGTTCAACCACAAACCCTAAGATGTTTTACCTGTGCTTCTGACTGACTGGCTATTAATCAAGGATCCCACAACTCCATCCTTGGGTTTGCTTAACATGGGGTCCAATCAAGAGTAGCTCACTGAACTTAGAGAAACAGGTTTACTGGTTTACTATAAAATAGAATGCAAAGGATATAGAAAAAGTGATTCATAGAGTGAGGTATGGGAAGGCGCAAAGAGCTTCCATGCCCTCTTATGGTGTGCCACCCACCAGGAACCTCCATGTGTTCAGCTATCTGGAAACTCTCTGAACATTCTCCTTTGGGGATTTTGTGGAAGCTTCAATACGTAAACATGATTGATTAAATCATTGGCCATTAGTCATCAACTTAACCTTCAGCCCCTCTCCCCTTCCTAGAGATTGAAGAGTGGAGGTGAAAGTCCCAAGCCTTGAATCAATCCTTGGTCTTTCAAGTGAATAGGCTCCGTCTTGAAGCTACTCATGGGCTGCCAGCCATCAGTTAACTCATTAGTATACAAAAAGATATCATGTTGGAGATTCTAAGGATCTTAGAAATTGTATGTCAGGAAATGGGAAAAAGACCAAATATTTATTGTACAATATCACAACTACATTCTAGTTCTTCCTCCTAATTCCTTTTCTAAGATGTGGCTTTCAGAAGAAAATGCACAGCTATAACAAAATTGATCTTAGCAACCCTTACTTTTAAAGTAGTCACATTTTCTCTCATCTATCATATAGCCATAAAAATACAATGTAATATAAATCCATAGTTTATTTGTATAAGAAGATATGTAGTAGCATAGAAGGTAGCATACTTGAGGAGCTACCTTCAAGTACTAAGAATCTGAGCCCAGGAGAGAAGAAACCTGCATTCTGATTTCAATATTTTGACAATTTAGTTGTGTAACTGTGGGCAAGTCAAATAGTATCTCCAAAGACTCAGCTTTCTCATCTGTAAATTAATGAATTGTGCTAGATATTTTATATGTTTTTACCTCACTAGTTAGCAAAGAGGACATAGTAAGTGGTATAGAGAAAAACATAACTGATGTGATGAGCAAAACTCATTTTCTGATGAATTAATGATGGGCCATTGGAAGTCATTATGGGGAATAAAAACTGTCATTGAAAGTATTTTCATAATTTGAACTAAACGAGGTACATAGGTGTTTTTACAGCCCATCATCCTTTATATATCTGACAATGAGACTCTGTCAGAGATCTGTGAATGCCCCAACCCTAAAATACGTAAAATTGGACAGAACTAAAGAATAAATAAACAAAGCCACAATTTTGCGTGAAGATTTGAATACACTTTTCTTAATAATTGATAGACCTAGAATAAAAACAAATCAAAACAATAATATGTAGAGAGAGGTGTACACAAGTATCTGCTACCTTATTTCACTGTAGTAGATTACAACATCCAAAACTCTGGGTAGTAAGTTGTTTTCAAGTACACTTAAAACGTTCAACAAAATAGACTGTAAGGTTGATCATGAAGTAAGTCTCAATGCATTTCAAAGTATTGACATCTTACAAAGTATATTGTCTAAGTACAATTAAGTTAGACACATATAACAATGAGAAAATTTAGCTAGAAAAGTTTCAAATATTTAGAAATTTAAAAATTACTTTAAAATAACATGAAAAATAATAAATTATAATATATATGATAGAATATTTAAAAGAACTGATAGTAAAAATACCACATATCAAACATACAAAATTGTAGTTAGAGCTAAAGAAAATTTAGAGATTAGATACATTCATTAAAAAACAAAAACTACTAAAAAAATTCTAGAGTAAGAAAATAGTGAAAAAGTTAAACAGAAGATAAGTGGAAGAAAATAATAAATGCATATGAAAATCAATAGCAGAAAATATTTCACAAAATAGAAAAAAATAGCAAGTCAAATGCTGGTTACTTGAAAAGATTAGCAAAATGGCAAATGCATAACAACAGAGATCACAGAATAAAAAGAGAAAATATAAATTACAAATAATAGGAGTGAAAGGAAAATTATCAATAAAGATCTTATAGACTATAAAACATTACAGTGAAATTATGAATAAAAGTATACCAATAAATATGACAAATTTAAAATAAATGCCTTCACTTGAAAAATGTTATGAAGATTGACATGGATGGATTGAAAATCTGAATAACACTATACATATTAAATAATTGAATTTATTATTATGATTGCTCTTCCCCACTTCCAAAAATACTTAGGCTTAAATTATTTACCTGGTGAATTATATCCAACTTGAAAAAATGTAAGACATTCTAACACAAACTCATTAAAAAATAAAAGGGGAAAATTTCACATTTTGTTTCAGAATATATCATAACCCACAACGACATTTTTAATAATTGAGGAACAATACCTCTCCTAAAAATAAATGTAACAATATTTTGAAATGTTATAAAAATAAGCTTGGCAATACATAAAATACATACTACAGCAAGACTGATTGGCGTTTATCTCGACAATGTAAGGTTGATTTGTCTATTAAGAATATGCCAAAAAAAGATGTACAATAGGCCAACAGGTATGTGAAAAAGTATTCAACATCACTAATTTTCAGAGAAATGCAAATTAAAACTACAATGAGATATCGTCTTACCTCAGTTAAATTGGCTTTTCTCAAAAACAGACAATAATGAATGTTGGTGAGGATATGGAGAAAGGAGAACCCACGTATGCCATTGGTGGAGATGTAAATTAGTACAGACACTATGGAGATCAGTATGGAGGTTACTCAACAAACTATAGGTAAAAATAGAACTACCATATGATTCAGCAATCTAATTGCAAGGTATATATCAAAAAAAAAAAGAAAATCTGTATATTTGAAGGGATATCTGCACTCCCAGTTATTGCAGCACTATTCACAATAGCCAAGCTATGAATCAACCTAAGTTTCTATCAGTGGGATAAATGAATAAAGAAAAGGTGAGACCTATACACAATGGAATATTATTCAGTTATAAAAAAGAACAAAATCCTGTCATTTGCAACAAAATGGACAAAACTGGAAGTCATTATGTTAATGAAATATGCCAGGCACATAAAGACAAAAATATCATGTTTTCACTCACATGTGGGAGTTAGAACAATTTGATTTCATGAAGATAAGAAGTAGAATGATGGTTACCAGAGGAAGGGTAATGTGGATGGGGGGAATAAAGAGATAATGGTAAGTGGTGCAAAAATACAATTACGTAGAAGGAATAAGACTTAGTGTTTGGTAGCAAAATAGGTCAAATATAGTTAACAATAATTTATTGCATATTTCAAAATGACTGGAAAAGTCGAATTGGAATTTTCCTAATACAAAGAAATGATAAATGCTTGAGGTGATGGATATCCCCAATTACTCATATTTCATTATTACACATTATATGTCTGGACGAAAATATCACATGGGCCGGGCGCAGTGGCTCACACCTGTAATCCCAGCATTTTGGGAGGCCGAGGCGGGCGGATCATCTGAGGTCAGGATTTCGAGACCAGCCTGGCCAACATAGTGAAACCCCATCTCTACTGAAAATACAAAAATCAGCTGGGCGTGGTGGCACATGCCTTTAGTCCGAGCTACTCTGGAAGGTTAGGCATGAGAATCACTTGAACCTGGGAAGCAGAGGTTGCAGTGAGCCGAGATCGCAGCACTGCACTCCAGCCTGGGCAAGAAGAACCAAACTCTGTCTCAAAAAAAAAGAAAAAAAAAAATCACCTGTACCCTATAAATATGTACAACAATTTTGTATCAACATTTAAAACAAAAAAACAATATGGCAGTCAAGCCATTTCAGTAGAAGTAGAAATATAACTTTTTCAGCATTGAACACCCATCCTCAATATGTTACAGTGTATTTATGAAAATCCAACACCCAATACATATTAGGTGGTGAAATATTTAGTACTTCCCACATCTAATCAGGAACAAGGTGTGAAATCTAGCTTCATCTTATTATTCAACTTTCAACACACTTGTGGTCCTAGCAAGCATAATAAACAACAAAATAATTAACCTGAGATTATAAACTGTCCCTCTTCACACATTACTTAATTTTCAATGTATGAAATAATCAGTAATCTATAATTGAGTAAGTACACTAAAACTTACCAGTAATTGTTGAAACAGTGTTGAAAAGGAGGTTGAGAATATGAATAAGGCAATATTGGCGTGCAGTCTGTACTACTGCATTGGTACTAGAAATATTGGTAAAATGCATTTAAAAACATGTATTGATACTGTATATGTGAATATGTATTTCTGTGTATGTGTTTTTCATTGTCCATGGAATGGAGAAAGAATGGAAAAAACTTGACCCCAGTAACAAATAACACATAAAAGTACCTGCATTTTAGTTTCTAAATAATATAGTATATTAATAACAAATTAGGGCTATTTGGAGAAATGGCTGATTGTAGGGCTGAGTCAGGGAAAGCACTACATGATACTACAGGCACATGCTTTGAGTATATATGCAGATATATATATCGGTGATTGCCAGGAAAATAATATATATGTAACACAAATAGGTCAGGATGCAAACAGTAGATTTAGTTCAAAAGATGGAGAGAAAAATTACCTGAACTTAAATTTACTGCTGTTAATTAATCAGAAAACATGCAGTTTAAAGGATACTTCAAAAGCAAAGAGTAAGGTAATGCAGTTTTCCAAAGTCTTTTGACTTCAGTGAGTTTTCCCCAGTTCTCCTTGAAGACAATCAAAAAGTCCAGACATTTTAGATCACTGACATATATGTATTTTAGACTGATGGGCAGAATAGGGTCAAAAGGAGACCTTTCAACCACCAAAGCCCTCCGTATTGTCATTTTTTTCAAATGGCAAAAAGTTGTGCTGCCCCAGAATCACATATCTGTATGTGATATGTTAGCATATTACAGAGCCAATCAAATGGCTTAATCCACTTGATGAGGTAGACAGGAAAACAACTAGTCTTACACATCTTGCATATTGCTACAACAATGCCCTTCACTTAAACATATACAGTACTAAGTTTTAAAGTTACTATTTCTGAAGGCAGGTTGTAAAACTATAATATGTCTATATCCCAGTACTAATCCCTGGTTTTAACTAGGACTTATCAATCAAAGATGTTTAAGCAATTTTGAATTTTAATTTAGTAATAATAATAACAATAATAATAATCACTAAATTTGTAAGATAATATGTATAAAGCTATAAAAGAATGGGCAATATTTAAGTTACTTTTTAGAAATGTCACACATTAAGTTCAAGATTTTTTCCAATTATATGATTACAAATATTTCTGTTAGAGGTATTCAGTGACTTTCGTTTCATTGAGTGTTAGTTATTGAGACTTCAAATGGTTGTAAACTTTTAGTTAGCCAAACCAGTAGTTCAGATTTCTAAAGTATTATTGCTTCATAAATCTGGATGTAAATCATAAATATCTGGCGACTGAGATGAGTGATCACTGACAATACTAGTGAATATTTGCTAAATGAGTTATTAACACTCAGAGGTTTATCATATTATTCATTAGCATATTAAACTGTATTTAATCATGTTCTAGAAAAATAAATTATTATTTTTTTTCACAGATGCCTAATCTCCCTTTATTTCACACAGCTATGCAAATCGTGAGGCCAAGGATCCAACCACAATTAAAGTTTAATTTACATAAATAGCTAGGCGAGGTGGCTCAAGCCTGTAATCCCAGCACTTTGGGAGGCCAAGGCCAGTGGATTAACTGAGGTCAGAAGTTCAAGACCAGCCTGGACAATATAGTGAAACCCCGTCTCTACCAAAAATACAAAAATTAGCCGGGCGTGGTGGCAGACACCTGTAATCCCAGCTACTCAGGAAGCTGAGGCAGAAGAATCACTTGAATCCGGGAGACGGAGGTTGCAGTGAGCTGAGATCACGCCACTGCACTTCAGCCGGGGCGACAGAGACTCCGTCTCAAAAAAAAAAAAAAAAAAAGAAAACAAAAAAGAAAAAAATGAAATTACATGAATAAGCTTTCTTCCCCATGAAAATAATATGTGTCACTTTATACTTGGTCTAACACACAAAATCCCCACCCTATCTGGCACAGATACACTTAACATGCAATATTAAGTACAATTTCCATTTTATTTTTCTCCAGAGAATAGTCTGCCTTCAGTCTTTAAGAACTCAGCTCCTTACAAGGGCTTTGGTGGGGGACGTGGGGCAGCACCAGCAGGTCTAAATCGGGGTGGGGGTGTTCGGTCCTTGCGGGCTTCATGAGATCGATTCCTGACTACTTTGCTGTGGATTGCACAACTCACACAGTAATGCAGCTTCACATACAGCTTGGGAAGCACGTAGGCATCGAAGACGCTTGCTTCAGAAATGTCCCTGACTGCTGTGGCCTCCACTATGTTTCGAATGACCAATTTCTTAATGGCCTTGTCCTTGGGCACACATCGGGCACAGTTAGTGCAGCGAATAGGCTGCACGTGGCCGCGGCCCTTTTTGGCACGACCGTTGTTCCTTCTTTTCTTTGTCATCTTCGAGGCACGGACCGGAGAGAGCTAGAAAAATAAATTATTGTAAAAGTTCAATGTATTATACAATTATATTTATCACTATTAGTAGAAACGTATTATTTTATCTGATATTTACATAAAACATTTTCCTCCCTTGGATAATATGTATTTCCTTTCAGTCTTAGACACTTGCCATTTATTGACACAAAAATAGTACCCTACAAAGGAATACAAATTTAATGATCCTTTAATTTATTTTCTCAATATTTTCCTATTTATCAAATGAGTGCTCTTATAATTTTACAATGAGCAGCCCAATTTTAAAATCTGAAGTGCTTCTACAAAGTAATGATGACAATACCATACAAATCGGAAGAAATACATTGCATACTAGAGACTGAATGAGTTCTCTACCAATGTATTGTAACAATTAAAAGATCTCTTCAAATTATTTTATTTGATACTACTTTGGCTATCCCACATTAATGAAATACAGCCTAATTTAATTACATATTATGATCATTGTACATACATGAGTTCCTGGTTATTTAAATTCATCCAATGCAACCTTTAAGAAGATTTTCAGACAATTATTTTGAGTATTGCACCATCTCTGCTATACTAATACCTTATGGATCTATCATACTTTGCAAAGATAAGCCATTTAAATTTATTAGATTTTAACAAATCTTGTCTTCTGGTAAGCTTGTATAATATTTTGATAGACGACTATAAATCACTGAATTTCCAAATCCAAAGAAAATTTATTTCTTCAAAATAAGTCTATTTTGTGTCTGGGCCATTTTCCTACCACCTCATTTTCATTATAATGGCTTATTCTCACTATAATTCAAATGTGTCCCCATAACTATGTATTAATTGTTATAGACAAATTGCATAGACACAATTAATTACATTCACTTCCTTAAGTGGTTAAGATTAAAATAAACTTAAGTTGCATGATTCATAACACAAAAATAATGGTACTGACAGACATTAAGTTAATAAACAGAGCCATCTATATGGAGAGTTGCACATATTTTTGTAGAGTAAAACATCCGCTTTTGAATTTTGTAGATGCAAAAGTTTGTTGATTCCCTTTCACCAACCTTAGATAACTGTACAACTGATTTGATTAAATTCAGTAGAGAGGTTTATGTCTTTGGCTGTACAATGTCTAGGCTCAGCATATCTATTATTGTGCTCAATAAACTTTAATTCATGGACAACATAGGTTTTGTAGTCAATCTTTAGAAAACACGGATTACTAAATCTCCTCTTAATGAATTATTATATATATAAACATATTGAAGCTTCTGTGCAGTTGTGTATTCAAAAATTAACTTTACACTTGAGCAAGCAAGATTATTTATCCAATATAAGACACTTTTATGTGCACATTCATGTATATCACTTGGAACAGATATCTCTTAACTTTGGTTCTGAGACACTGCTGATATATCACACTTAGACTGGGCTGGTTCTTCATCTTAAACAAAAATTGCAAAAGTAAAATAGACATAAAATTTTAAAACCATTTAAAGTGAAAAAAGTATGTTTTCCCCTCTGCTCTATTCTCAGTACCTAAGTTCATTATTCATTTTCTCCAGTATTTTATTATGAAAAATTTTCAAGAATACATCAAATTTGAAAGAATTTTACAGTGAATACCAACTAGATATGAACATTCACGTTATGCAAATCATTAACTAAAGTTTAATATATGAGTCCTTTTTAAAAATGATGTAAACTTTACAATGAAATGCACAAATTTTAAATGTGCAATTGCTGTGTCTTTACACACATATATATACCCTTCAAATAAATAACATAGAACCTTGATGAGATTTAGAACATTATCATTACCGCCAGAATGTTCTCTCATATACATTTTCAGCCCATCAATGTAATCTCCTACTCTAAGGCAAATCCAATTTTGTTTTAACCACAGATTAATTTTTCCTGTTCAAGAATGTTATATAAATAGATTCATATAGTATATACCCTTTTATAAAAGGTATTTTATACTTATAAGAATATTCCTGATATTTATTAATGATGTTACAGAGGAATTGTTAAGATTTATTTTCATAAGATAATGTATTCTTAAGAGAGTACATATCAGACATTTTCTACTAGTGCATAAATTTGCACATAGCCAATCTCTTCTAATTCTTGTCAACTTTATTATTCTTCGTTTCAGGAGTTAAGTCTTGTCTAACTTGCCTCTAAATTATTAATAGAGCTATTTTCTTTTTGGGTTTTCTACTAAAATATTTAATCCCAAAAAGTCCACTATATTACCTTTTTAAAAAGTCTTTAGTTTTTTAGAGCCATTTTATGTTCACATCAAAATGAAAAGAAAGGTATTGAAATTTCCCATATAACCCTGGTCCCTACACATGCATACCCTCCTGCATTATCAACATCTCCCAGTACATTTGTCAAAACTGATGAATTTACAATCATATATCATTGTAATCATCGTTGTCATCCAGAGTTTGTAATTTACATTAGCTTCACTCTTTTTATTGTATATTCTGTGAGTTTGGACAAATGTATAATGACATGTATCTACCATTATAATATCATACAAAATATTTTCATTGTCCTAAAAATCCTATGTGCTCTGTCTGTTCATCACACCTTCCCTTCCTCCAACACCAGGCAACCACTGATCTTTTCACTGTCTTCACAGTTTTGCCTTAATTAGACTTTCACATAGTTGGAGTTATACAGTATGTAGCCTTTTAAGACTAACATCTTTCACTAGTAATATACATGGACATCTTGGCGAGCTTCTTCCCCAAGTTCTGACAGTTATGATTAAAACTGCCGGGCCGAGCGCGGTGGCTCACGCGTGTAATCCCAGCACTTTGGGAGGCCGAGGCGGGCGGATCACTAGGTCAGGAGATCAAGACCATCCTGGCTAACACGGTGAAACCCCGTCTCAACTAAAAATACAAAAAATTAGCCGGGCGTGGTGGCGGGCGCCTGTAGTCCCAGCTACTCGGGAGGCTGAGGCAGGAGAATGGCGTGAACCCGGGAGGCGGAGGCTGCAGTGAGCTGAGACCGTGCCACTGCTCTCCAGCCTGGGTGACAGAGTGAGACTCCATCTCAAAACAAACAACAACAACAACAACAACAAAACTGCCATAAACGTCCTTGTGTAGGTTTTTGCGTGGAACTAAACTTTCAATTCCTTTTGATAAATACCAAGAAGTATGATTGCTGCATCACATGGTATAAGTTTATTTAGTTTTGTAAGAAACCACCAAACTGTCTTCTGAAATCGCTGTACCATTTTGCATTTTCACAAGCAAATGAATGAGCGTTCAGTTTGCTTCACATCCTTATCAGCATTTGATGTTGTCAGTGCTCTGTATTTTGGCCATTCTAATAGTTTGGTAGTAGTATATCTTTGTTCTTTTAATTGTTATTTCCCTGATGACATGATGTGGAACATGTCTTCATATGTTTATTTGCTATCTGTTTATCTTTTTTGGTGAGGTCTCTGTTAAGGTCCTTGGCCCACTTATTAACTGGTTGTCTGTTATCTTATTGTTGACTTTTAAGAATTTTTTTGTATAGTTTAAACAACAATTATCAGGTATGTCTTTTGCAAATATTATCTCCTTATCTGTGCCTTATTTTTGTATTTATTCCTTAGACACTGTATTTCCCAGTGCAGATTTAAAAAAATTTAATAAGTTCTAGTGTATCAATTCTTTCTTTCATGAATTGTGCCTTCATTGTCATTTCTAAAAATTTGCCAGACTCTCAGTCACCTAGATTTTATGTTACATTATCTTCTAGAAGATATAAAGTTTTGCATTTTACATTTAGTCTGTGATACAGTTTGAGTTAACTTATGCAAAGAGTGTAAGGTCTGTGTTTAGATTCATTTTTTACAAGTGGATGTCCAGTTGTTTCAGGACCATTTATTGAAAAAACTATCTTTGTTCCATTATATTTTCTTTGTTCAAAGATCAGATGACTGTATTTATGGTAGAGAAAACTATCAATGGAACAGAATATAGAACTCTATTTTGGAGCTCTAAATTCTGTTCCATTAATAGTTTTGCCTACTGTTTTGCCAATACACTGTCAAGATTATAGTACTTTATAGTAGGTCTTGAAACTGGGTGGTGTCAATCCTCCAACTTTTCTCTTCTTCGTTATTAAGTTGGCTGTAAGACTTTTTGCCTCTCTATATAAATGTTAGAATAAGTTTATTATCAATAAAACGAATTTCTGGGATTTTGATTCAGATTGCATTGACTCTATAGATCAAGTTGGGAAAAACTGACATTCTGACAATATTCAGTTCTCCTATCCATGAACGTAAAATATCTCTCCAGGTATTAAGTTCATCAGTTTTGTAGTTTCCCTCATATAGATCTTATTTGTATTTTGTTAGACTTGTAACCAGGTATTTCATATTTGGGATGCTAGTGTAAATGGTATTGTTTTTAATTTCAAATTTCACTTTCATTCCTCATATGTAGGAAGGCAAGTAATTTTTATATATTTTCTTATTCTGCAATTTTGCTATAATCACTTATTAGATTCAGGAGATTTTTGCTAATTTGTTCGGATATACCAGATAAAAAGTCATGTCATCTTCATACAAAGATAATTTTATTTCTTCCTTCACAATCAGTATACCTTCTGTTTCCTTTTCTTATTTTATTACATTAGCTGGGACTTCCAGTGTGATTTTGAAAGGGGGTAACAAGAAGAGATATCTTTACCTTGTTTCTGTTCTTAGTGGGAATGGTTCCAGTTTTCTCACCATGAAGAAGTATAATGTTGTCTGTTGTTTTTCTTTTTTTTGTATATTTTAAAAATCAATTTAGGAAGTTTTCTTCTATTCAGAATTTACTGAGAATTTTTATTGTGAAAAGATGTTTCATTTTGTAAAATGCTTTTTCTGCATCTATTGATATAATCATGTGATTTTTTTTTCTTTAGCCTGTTGATGTGGTGGATTACAATCATTTATTTTTGAATGATGAACTAACTTTACATACCTGAGATAAATCCCACTTTGTCATAAAGTGGGATTATTTTTATACATAGTTTGTTGTATTTGCTAATATTTTGTTGGGAATTTTTACATCTATGCTCATCAGAGATGTTGATCTGCAGGTTTTTGTTGTTGTTCTTGGAAGGACTCTGAATGATTTTGGTAGCAGGGTACTGCTGAAAACAGAGAATGAATTGGGGAGTAGCCCCTCTGCTTCTACCTTCTGAAAGAGTTTTCAGAAAATTGGTATAATTTATTTTATATAAAAGATAAGAAAAATTCACTAATGTATACATCTGGGCCTGGTGCTTTTTGCTTTATAAGTTAATTAATTATTGATTGAGTTTCATTGATAGACATTATGAATGTCTTTTTGTGTGAGTCTTAGCCAATTTTGTCTGTCAAGACATTGGCCCATTTTATTCATATTTATTGAATATGTAAGTTTGGAGTAGTTCATAATATTCCTTTGTTATCCTTTTAATATCTCTGGAATGTGTAGTGTTGGCACCTCTTTTATCTCTAATAATTTATATTCTATTTTTTTTCTTACTTAGCTTGGCTAGAGGCTTTTCAATTTTATCTTTTCAAAGAACAAGATTAAAAGTCATTGATTTTCTTTACTGATTTCCTGTTTTCAATTTCATTGATTTCTACTCAAATTTTTATTACTTATTTTCTTCTCCTTACATTGGATTTAATTGGCTTTTCTATTTCTAGTTTCCTAAGGTGGAAGCTTAAAATGTTAAGTTTAGCTCTTTCTTCTTTACCAATAACTTTCACTCTCAGCACTGCTTTCACTGCCCCTCACAAAGTTTGATATTTTATTTTTATTTTCATTTAGTTCAAAATTTTTAAATCATCCTTGAAATTTCTCTTTTGACCAAAGTGTTATTTATTTGTTTAGCATTAAGGGGAAACATGTACCGGTTAATTACATGCGTACATTATACGATTCTGAGGATCCCATCACCCAGCTATCAATAGGTAGTTTTTCATGCAATGCCTCCTCCCTCCTTCCCTTTTTTGGTGGTATCCAGTGTCTATTTTTTCCATCTTTATGTCCATGTTTATTCAATGTTTAGCTCCCACTTATAAGTAAGAACATGAAGTATTTGGTTTTCTGTGTTAATTCACTTAGGATAATGGCCTCCAGCTGCATCATGTTGGTGCAGAGGATATAATTTAGTTCTTTTTTATGGCTGTGCAGTATTCCATTGTGTATTATACCACATTTTCTTTATTCAGTCCATCACTGATGAATACCAAAGGAAAATAAGTTGGTCTACCAAAAAGACATGTTGCCAGGCATAGTGGCTCATGCTTGTAATCTCAACACATTGGCTGAAGTGGGAAGATTGCTTGAGCCCAGGAATTCAAGACCAGCCTGGGCAACATGACCAGACCTAGTCTCTTCAAAAAATACAAAAATTACCTGGATGCGTTGGCGTGCACCTGTAGTCCCAGCTACTCAGGAGGCAGAGGTGGGAATATCACTGGATCCAGGGAGGTCAAGGCTGAGGTAGGCCATGATTTTGCAACTGCACTCTGCACTTCAGCTGGGTGACAGAGTCAGACACTGTCTCAAAAAAAAAAAAAAAAAGGAACCACATATGGACTTATATGATCATCACAGCGCTACTCAAATTTTAGCAAAGACAGACATGAAGTCAACTATGTGGTATTTAGATGTGTGTTTTTTAGTCTCCATATATTTTGGAATTTTCAAGTTACTCTTAATTTACTAATTTATAGTTTAGTACCATTGTGTTCTGAGAGTTGGCATTGTATAATTTCTATCATTAGAGTTTTTAATATGTGTTTTATGACCCAGCATGTTGTCTATCATGTGAGCTTGAGAAAAATGTGTATACTTCTGCTGTGGGATGAAGTAGTCTACAAATATCAATTGCATACAGTTAATTGATGGTATTTTTGAGTTCAGCTATGTTACTAATGACTTTGTGTCTGCTGGATTTGTCCATTTCTGAAAGAGGGTTGTAGAATTACCCAAATACAGTAGTAATTTCCTCCAATTTCTCCTTACATTTCTATCAGTTTTTGCGTTGCATATTTTGACAGTGTTAGGCACATACATGTTAAGGATTCTTAGGCTTTCTTTAAGAATTTACCCCTTTATCATTATTCAATGTCTTTCTTTATCTATCTTCCTAGCTAGGTTTGATGTCTGCTTTATTGGAAATTAATATAGTTATTTATACTTTCTTTTGATTAGTGCTAGCATGATATATCTTTCTCTATTCATTTACTTTTAAGCTATGTATGTCTTTGAAGTGAGTTTCTTGTAGGCAACATATACTAACTTGAGTATTATTTTTAATCCAATCTGATAATCTTTGTCCTTTAATCTGTACATTAAGACAAATTGATATTCAAAGTGATTGCTTATATAGATGGATAAATATCTACTCTATTTTTTACTGTTTTCTATTTGAGTTGCCACTGGAAGAAAGGTGTCTATCCACAGAATGAAATAATATAACCTTCTAATAACTTGGGTCATTAATTAATATTTTATTCTTGGTATTGATACAAAGTTTAACACAAAGAGAGGACTTAATTAGTATATACTGAATAACTTTAGAAATTCAGGAATAAAAATATTTTTAACTTCAATTGTTAAAGCGTCTTTCATTGGTTAGTTCCATGCTAATATGTACTTTGTACATGTTGAAATAATTGTAGTTCCAAAAAGATCCTAATATGTGTAATTGCTCAAACACACTAGAGGTTTTCTTCCTTGTTTATTGAACCATTAATATTAATATGTGTGTTTGGTGGTTAGCTTTTTGCTGCAAATTGTTTAACAAAGTAAATCTTGTAACTCTGGTATTCCTGCATACGTTTGTGTTATTTGACAATAGCCAGCAGCAGAAGAAAATACAGGGTGGTCACACTTGCTTCATAATGTCTTGGTCTGGAAATTTCACACATAATTCCTTTCATATTCTATTAACAAGGACTCAGTTACATGGTCTATTCTAACTGCAAGAGAGACAGATAACTTTATTTCCGGGTGGCCAGTAGTAAGATAAACTATAATTTATGAAAAACTTAAAACCTCTGCAAAAACTTGTGAAGTTACAATGGTTTATGTTCTGCCTCTGTGTCATGATATAGTGGATTTCAGTGATTTTATTTTAAAATTCCAGTTATGCAACAAATTTGCATTTATATCCACACCTAAAGCTTACCTAAGATAATGGAACAAAGAAATGTTTGGAATATTTTCAAACATCATCTGATTCCACTGTAGTTAAGACTTAGCAATAGAGTGTTCATGAAAATATACTGAGTGTTGAAACTTTGCTAATTAGAAAATAATATATTTACTTTCTCTGAAGAATTTTGTTGATTAGTAATATTTTATCCCCTGAGCATCCTGACCATTTGTGGAAAGCAGGGACAGGGACTTCTGATTTACATTGAGTGAGTTATTTGGAAATGTACAGTTTTAATTAATTAATAACCATTTACATACCACAATTTTTTCTCAAATCTCACTTTCTCATATGGCAGGTCTTAATTTTTAATTATTATATAACCCTGCGATGTAGGTATTTTAATTTCTGTTTCAGAGATTTTTAAACTGTGAATCTTGCCCATTCCGTGGCAGCTAAGAAATGGCAGATGTTTAATTCAATCTCACTTTTCTCTAAGTAAAAATTCTGTGCACCTTCTACCACACTACATTGTTTTCTTTCTTTTGCTAGGATTGAGAGCATTCATTTTGGAAGTGTAGGATATTTCATTTAACATTAGGATAACGTTTATAATATGTTTATTATATTATTCTAGATAGTAAAATGATTTGGAAAAGATCCATTTTTGTAGGCTATTCAAGTGTAAAAATTCTTGATTGGCACTTTTTTAATTTTTATTTTTAAATTTTCAGCACTTTGAATATGTCATCTCTGTTGCCTTCTAACTCAATTATTTATTACATCAGTTGTTAATTGTATTGGGCTCCTTGTGTGAAGAGCTGGTTTTCTTTGGCTGCTTTCAAGATTTTCTTTTTATGTTTGGCTTTCAACAATTTGACTATGACATGTGTGAGTGTGGAACTGTATGTTTATCCAGCTTACTAAAAACTTCAAACTTTGGAATGTATAAATGTTTTTCACCAAATTTGGGAAGTTTTCTGTTATTATTTCATCAAAAATATTTCTTTACCTCTCATTTTATTCTGGTACTCTTATTATGTGTATGTTGGTGTGCTTAATGATAACCCAAATTTATCTGAGACTGTATATTTTTCTTTTTTTATTTTCCCTATTCTTCAAATTGCATAATCTCTATCAATTTTTCTTCGATTTTGTGGATCTTTTCTTCTGCCAATTCCCATATACTGTTCAGCCATACCAGTACATTTTTTATTATTTTAATGTAAATTCCACAAATATTTTAAAATAATTTGTACTTCTTTATTGCAATTATGTATTTGATGAGAAATTGCCATTACAGGTTTTTTTTTTTGTCTGTAATTCTTTGCACTTGCTTTCCTTTTAGCATTTCAACATACTTATTATAGTTACTTTGAGGTCTGTGTTCACTAAACTCCAATATCATCTGGGATTCCTCAAAAACAGTTTTTATTGCCTGATTTGTATTTGTATTTTTTTTTTTTTTTGCTCCAGTGTATGGGATCCTCTCTCTTGTTTCTTTATATACCTCATAATTTTTTGTTTAAAAAATAAGCATTTTAGATAATATATTAGATAATAAGCATTTTAGATAATAGATAATATTATAATAGATAATATCTAAATACATATATTTAGATAAAATACATTATAGATAATATATTTTAGATAATAATATATATATATTATCTAAATATTTAGATAATATTTAGATAATATAGATCAACTTTGAATATTGATCCCCCTAGGTTGGGTTAATATTGTTGTTGTTTGCTTTCCCTTTGTATGTTTGTTTAATGACTTGGCTAATCTAATTCTGTAAAGTCTGTTTCTTCTGGAGCATGCCCTTTCTCAGAGTGTCTTCCTTGATTTCGTCTTTTTGCCTGGCTAACAAATGGTCCCTCCTGGGTCAGCAGAAGCCTCTTATTTGCCCAGCGTGGTGTTTATGCTCCCTTAGTAAGTTATGTTTTTATGTTTTACCATTGGCTGTGTTTGTGTGGCTTGGAGGTGCTATCATAGATCAAGGAGTTTAACTTTTTGCCTCACATTCAGCCAGGGACTAGTAACTTTGATCTTCTCTTTCTGACCACTTCTGAGTAGGGACAGCCCTGGACATGCACACAGTCTTCTATCTCTCCAAGGATGCTTTTGGTTTTATTTTTAATCCTAGTTTTTAGCAGTTGAGCCAGTTTATAGTAGCTTACTATTTATCCATGTTTGCTCATGTGGCGTGTTTCAGTGCCTTTGACAGTGAGGCTTCCAGGCTATACTGATGGATTTGTGGGCAGATTCATGTTTTCCTGTCTGCCCCATGTCCTGCTCTCATTGCCCTGAGTTTAGCCTAGTACACGTGCACAACCTTCCTGGCTTCCAGAATTGCCTGTGATTCCAAAAGAATGATACTTGGCTACACTTTAATCAGGTTATTTTTGTTATAGTTTTGTTGTTCTGTTGTTTTGATTGCTGCTAGTATTCTGGAGCTAGGAAAACCCTCTTAATTACTATTAATCATGATCTCCAGTGATTTTGACTGGTATCTTAGGCATGGAATTTTACATGCCCTGTTTCAAATAAAGTCAGTTTCCTTAAACGGAGCTGCAAAGCTCTTACTCAATAAAGCATGCCTCCCCTTCTCTGGACAGAACATCTGTGTCACCACAAAGGATCTAGGAGACCAGATGTCTTCTCAGTTCTCTGGAATAATATCCTGTCACTATGAGCAGGCCTGAAGATAGAGATAATAGCTCCTGGTCTTCTCCACTTACCTTTCTCAGTGTGAAACATCTTCCTCATGAGCAATCTGAATGGGGGCAATCAGAGCACAGTGTTCTTGGCCTGCCACATTTGGAGTGGAGCTTGCATCCTACAAGTAGGGGCTAGATGAGAAAAGGGAAATTCTTTAATAGTTGTTTTGGTGGGGAAAGGATGAGAAAGGCTGATGGCTTGCCCCTTCTGAGGTGAAATCACAGCTATGAACTTGAAGATGGGGGTAGAGGGAGTCACCTGTCTTCTTGGCTGTACTCATTTGTCTTATTTAGTTCAGGATGTTGTAACAAAATACCATAAACTTAGTTGCTTATAAAAACTAGAAGCGTATTACTCACAGTTCCGGAAACTGAAAGTCAGAGATCAGGGTGACAACATAGTTGGATTCTAGTGAAGACTCTCTCTCATACTGCAGACTGTTGACTTCTCATTGTAATCTTACATGGTGTAGAGCAGAGTGAAGCAAGTTCTCTTAGAACTCTTATAGGGGCACTATTACCACTCATGAGGTCTCTGCCCTCGTCATCTCATCTAATACTAATTACTTCCAAATGCTACACCCTTAATACAATCACATTGAGGGATAGGGTTTCAACATATGAATTCGGGGGTCAAATACTTAGTCTAGAATATTCCATCCATTGCCTCCAAATTTCATGTTCTTCTCTCAGGTAAAATACGTTCACTTTATCTCAGCAGCCCCAAAAGTCTGGAATCAATCCAACATCCATTGTAAAATCTAAAATATCATCAACATATCATCTAAATCAGATATAGATGAGATTTAGGGTGCAATTTATCCTGAGGCAACATTCCTCTCTATCTGTAAACCTGTGAAAGCAAACAAGTTATATACTTGCAAAATATAAACAGACATAGCATAGACATTCCCATTCCAACAGGAACAAGCAGGAAAGAGGGAAGGTTGAGGGTTCCCAAGAAAAGTCTGAAACCTAGAAAGGCAAACTACATTAGACCTTAAGCCTCAAGAATAATCTTCTTTGGTTTGATGTTCTTCCTTCTAAGTGCACTGGGAAGGAGGTCCCACCCAGCTAACTCAGCAGAAGTCAGTGCACCAGAGTACACAGGCCCCAGAGACATGGCTGCCCCCACCTAGGTTTCAAAGAACACACAGAACTGGAGAGAACAATGGGAGTGGAGTTCAAACTGATTGCTGCTTTGGGCCTTCCCATCTGGTCTAGCCACGGGGGTGATGTCACCATCCCAGTGGTCCTAGAAGGGAGAGAAATTGAGACATAAGTTGTAATGACCTTGTCAGAATCTATACAGAGCTACATTGGAAATTATAAGTGCTATATTCAAATTATAATATGATTTTATCTGTTATTGCTGTTTTGTAATGCATACAAGTGGAAATGAATAAATCAAAGGAATTTTTATAATTTCATACCTAAGGACAGAAATAATGCTCCATTTGCTTCTGTATTTTCAGTAGCTGGCATCTAATAAGTATTCAATACATTAAATAATTGTTGCATTACTGCAGGAATTAAGGTGTTTGTTTTATATCATTTTCTAGTATTAACTTTAATAGACTAAAAATTACATGAGGATAATATGCATGTATGTTTCACCTACTTGTCATAATCTAAGATTCTAGCTCATTCCTTTGCATGCAATAGAAACACAAGACCACTCTACTTATTGGATCATTAAATGATGAATGATAGAAGCCCCAGGTGTAAGGTGACCAAGCAAACTTGTTCAGTCAATACATTCTTTCTGAATTAAATTATCTATATTTGATGGAATAGCCGGTTTAAAGCTAGACATTAATTTTAGAAAAGCAATGCAAAAGTTAGTGCTAATAATACCTGAAAACCATTTATTGTTTAGGTGGACACTAGCAGGCATACTGTCAGATTGTATCAGTGTAACTTCCTGTTCTCTGAGCCAGTTGGAAGAAAACGATGAACAAATAAAAATGGGGCTCTCATTCCTAGACTAGAAATGGGTAGAGAGCCAATTCTTACTGGCTACTGTGGAGACAATTTTTAAAAAAGCTTCTAACAAAATATTATAACTATAAAATATTCTACTTTGTATGGTAAGGAAGTAAAGGAGATTTTTTTTTTCATTTCAGCTGAGGCACCAGTAGGATAACGAAAAGATGATAGATAGTAACTATGTGCCAATTCAAAAGTAAAGTGCTAGACCACCCACAGAGGACAGCAAGAGGAAATTGTTTAAATTTGATTTTGCAACACTTAAGCAGCAGCCAGCTTAAGAGTAGTTAAGTAGACTGCAGTTTCTCCTCTTTTTCTAGTCATAAATAAGGCAAAAAATATATATTAAAAAATAAAAATCTCTTTGCAGCATAAGCAAAGCCATGTGACTAATTATGACTTGGTTTTTTTTAATTTATTTTATTTTATTTTATTTCATTTTGAGATGGAGTTTCGCTCTGTCGCCCAGGCTGGAGTGCAGTGGCGCGATCTCAGCTCACTGCAAGCTCCGCCTCCCGGGTTCACACCATTCTCCTGCCTCAGCCTCCTGAGTAGCTGGGACTACAGGTGCCTGCCACCATGCCTGGGTAATTTTTTGTATTTTTAGTAGAGACGGGGTTTCACCGTGTTAGCCAGGATGGTCTCGATCTCCTGACCTTGTGATCTGCTCGCCTCGGCCTCCCAAAGTCTTGGGATTACAGGCGTGAGCCACCGTGCCTGGCTGACTTTTCTTTTTTTGGAGAGAAATTGTCATGGCATTTCACCTTCATGTGGCAGGTGAAAAAGTTCATAGAGATCTCAGCACTGCTCCTCTTCTAGGCTGAAGCATGGAGGAGTACTGATGAGATCTCCACAAACTTTTTCACCTGCCACATGAAGATGCTACAAGTTCCAAATAGTACAACTACATCATGGGGGAGTCTCTGTTACCCTGGGTCCCTGAGTGTCTGTGTAGAACAGGGCATGCCCACATCAACCTAAGTGAACTAAAAGTATAAGTGAAGAATCAATGTTTGCTGTAGTATATTTCCTTGTGTTACCACAGCATAAACTTCTTCATCCTGAGCAGAGCTGTTGTAAATGAGATGAGACTGAAGTGACTGAGAAAAAAAAAAAATCGACCTTCCTATCCTGATGAACCTCCTGACTTCAAATGAGAGAGAGGGACTTCAAGGGTACTAAATAAAAGCCTAGCCTGACTTTCTTGTAGCCTGCTAGAGATATAGAGCTACTTAATAAAAGGAGGATAGACATTGGTGTATCATCAAAGGAGCAGAGCTGAAAGGGACTTTCAGAATTGCCAAGCAAGTACATTGATAAACTTCTTTTTCTGAACCAACAAAAATATAGACAAAATAACTAAAATTCACCATTTTAGGACTCTGGTAATTAACAAATACCACAGAATGAACTAAAAATAACTTAATCAAGAGAGACTATTTAATTTTGATAAAATAGTGAGGTCTGCAATATTTTAACTTGAGTTTATTTCTACTTTCCCCTTCTCTCAACTCAGTGGCGTGATAGCAGAGTAAAGCCCTGCAGCAGAAGAAGATGACTTACCTCTTTTGGAGCTACCTTAAAAAGCCCCATCTCCACACACAGTCAATATTTTATCTGAACTTGAAGATCCTGGAAAATCTCCGTTCCCAGGGTTTAGTGCTCTTTGATCTGACACAGTCCTCAGATCAGCAGAGTAGGGGATGCCAACTTCCAGGGTATTACCAAACAAAATGAAACTGCTGGCAACAGCTCACTTGCCTACAGCTGTGATTTCAGTTAGAGCAGCTTGGCCAGGATTTATACAGAAGTTCTGGAGGACTAGATAACAACATGGAACTTTGAAAGGCTCTGACATGTTCTGGGTAATCTAAAAGGTTCTTTACACGTGCAACGCCATAAAAATTGCTTTTTGAGAAGGATCACATAATGAAGTATATTATCATTATTATTCTGGCAATGCTGCTGTGATGAGATAATTTGTTTTTCGTTTTTGTCTTCAAAGAATAGAATACATAAAAAGGGAGAGGAGAGGTGTCAATAAAAGTCTGCAGTTCATAGGCTATATTCAAGCTGTTTATCAAAAACTTATGTAAGAGGCATGCCTGATCCTTATTTAAAACACAAATGGCTTGTCTCACAATTGACTCACTAATAAAGAAGCCAATACATGCAGAGACAGGGCCTTATAATTTTGTTATTATATCTCATTACAATTACAATTTCATCTTTCTCCTAAATGAAAAGCGAGATTTTTTCT
The DNA here is from genome assembly GCF_000001405.40 of Homo sapiens. Lineage (NCBI taxonomy): Eukaryota > Metazoa > Chordata > Mammalia > Primates > Hominidae > Homo > Homo sapiens. The sequence continues at coordinate 30,847,391 of NC_000009.12, forward strand.
TTAACAACAACCTCAAACAATGTCCCTTTTCAATGTAGTCATTTCAACTTTGTGTTGTAATTGATGTACTTCTATGGGACTTATAACCCTTAAGTATTTACAGTCGTTACACCCCGGTATTACTCTCTCTCTCTGTCTGTCTCTGTCTCTCTCTCTTTCTTTTCTTCATTGCATTCACTCTTGAAGCACTCTCATTTAAGGATGTTTGTCTCCACTGCTCTTGTCAATGTTACTAATAATCGTCACACTGTCAAAGCCAATTATCAAATATCATTTATCATCTTAGTTAATATTTAAGCAGTATTTGATTTGTTTGATAAATATAACACTCTTCCATTAGCTGTATGTAAATCTTTTTTGGTTCTATTCATATTTTCTGTCTTCTTTTTTTTGTTTTTCTTGTTCATTCCTTCCACCTCTCCTTAATCTGTAAAGGTTAGAGCAGTTGTTCTTCAGAGCCCTCTGGTCTCTAAATTGAACCCCCCAGGTAGGCTTCTCCAGACATATTGCTTTACATATTACATAACATTTGTTAACTCCAAAATTTATATTTTCAGTGCTGACTTATTTTCACACCTCCAAATATAAGTAGCCAGTTGTTCATAAGTCATGTTAATTTGATGACTTGTAAACATCTCAGGACAATATATCCAAACCAAACCCTTAACAACTCCTACCCAAGTATGATTCATTTCTGATTTTCCATATTTTAGTAAATGGCAACAGCATTTTTCTAATTGCTCAGCCAAAACACTTTAAGGTTATTTCTCAGCTCTTTACCATCACAACCCCTATCTAATTAATTTAAAAAATCTTATATTTTCAAAATATATCCAGAATCAAACCATTTCTCACTATCACCAATGTTATCATCCTTTTCAATACTACTATAGCATTTTATCATGTTTAATGTAGTAACATTCTAATATTCTCCTACTGTCTACACTGATTTCCTGAGTCTCTTCTTCATAAAACATTCAAACTGATATTTCTGAAGTTATAGCATGATAACCTTATATTACACATTTCGCAATGGTTTTCTATATTATTTAGAATAAAATCTGAGGTAAGTTACATAGGCTACAAATCCATATATAACTTGCTACAACTGGGCTACCTTTCTGATCTCATCTCCTGATGTCGCCTTCCTCACTCACTGGCATCTACTTCCATTAACTTCATCACCATGCCTCCAATGTACCTAGCACACTCTCACTTTAAAGTTCATTCCCAGTGCCTGGACTACTAATACTACTATCCCCCAGAAATCCATATGGCCCACACCATAAATAAAATACATTGGAAAATGACCCATTTTGTTCCAGTTCTCAAAGGGTGGTCCACAGAACATTCATACTGAAAAGAGCTGGTAGTTACTGTTAAACACGTCAGTTCTACCAGTTCTACTCTCCCTTTCAGTCCTATGGAGTTACAATATCAAGGCCTGTGATCCTGGAAACTGTACCTTTAAATATCATTTGAGTTAAATTCAATACATAGTGAAATTGGAGAATCAGTGATTGGAGAGTTGGAGCCAGACCTAATACAACAAACATAACAAATGAGCTTATTTCCATGTCAAAGACAGCTTTAAAAAGATCTGAATCCACATGTCCATTCTTTAGGTTCACACTTGTGCATTTTGGCAACAAAAGAGATGGCAGTTCTGGGATAGGTGATAAATAATTTATTAAGTTCATTCATGGGGCTGTAGTTCCTGGGTCTAAAGGTCATGTTTAATTTATTATTTTAAAATTCTAATTTTCCATGAAATAATACTGCCAAGATCTTCCAAAAACTATATAATTATATACATATATAGTCAAACAGTATGTCTATAGCACAATTAGGCAACAGAAAACACTAAACTTCAATTTGGACAAGTGGAGAATGTCCATGTATATGTAAGTGCAGAAAAAACCTGAAGTCAACAGAGCTAGGCACAGAGTCAATATCAAAGCAAGAAGCCAGAGGGAGGCTTAGGAAAATGGAAGAGGCAGAGGAATCCTAGCCAAAGCAAAACACAGATATAAGCAATCTCAGAAAGAGCTTCAACCTGTGTGTCAAATACCAGAAAATATTCCAAAATCTGATGGATCTGACCTTATCTGTGTATTCTCAACAAGCAGGAGAAAAAGACTTCAAAATGAGTGAGACCAGGGGAGGTAATCTTGAAAGGCAAAGTCTCATGGAGAGAGGAAACTGTCTTGCATGAGGGAAGTTCTCCTGGACAACTGGTGGTAAAATGAAAGACAGAAGTGAGTGTTAGAAATTAAAAGTTCCACAGAAACAGAATATCAAAAACTTAGTAAATCTCTTGCTCCCAAAACGAAAGGAAGGGAAGCATCGTCTACTTCTGTGAAGCCTCATTGGCTGAAAAAATAATATGAGACTTCAGCAACATAAGAATTCTGGGACAAAATCAACTTTAACAAGGTTTGATATAGACGTTTCCTCTAGGAAACATCTAGAGTATTAAAGACTCAGTGGGACCAAAGGAGATGAAGCACAAACATTATACAGTACACAATTGTTAGGTCATAATTTTAGTATTTTTATATATAAGAAGCCAGCATTTAGAAAGTCATTAGATATTCCTTTATTTTCATTGCATAATACTAGAGGGTATATTTATATTCAAAAGTCATGTTAGTTTCTCAAAAATTTTCTTAAAAGAGAGTACAAAATATGTATTAACTAAATCTTAATGGAATAATTTATTAGAATAACTTATTGTATTTTCATTGGTAGTTAGAGATGTCATAAAATAATTAAATTAAACAAGAAATTAACCCAAATGACTGAAAAAATTTTATTCTACTTTTTATCTCTGGTGTCAATCCCGATGGGCCTTAAAGCACTACCCTAAAGTTGTAAGTCTGACAGTTGATGAAGCTCACAACCTTTTGATAGAAAACACTTTTATTTATTTTTAGATATATTAGAAGTACTGGACTTTTCACCCCTGTGTTAGAAGAAAATGCAATGGGATCTTTTGTGTCCCTAAGTATAAAAGGTTTTCTCAGGTGGGTAGTCATTTGTGATACTCGCCTGCTCAACAAAACATCCGTTTTTGATTAATGGTGCCCCCGTGACATTGAGTAGAAGAGTAGTCTAACTGTGATGAAACAGAAGAAAATATAGTATATAAGAATGCTATCGAGAGGAGTGGCTGTGGTTACTGACTCCTGGTATATGTTTTTTTTCCATTCTGTTAAAATTCATATAGCTGTATATTTTAGAACAAGGGATAAAATGTTTGTGGCTACACATAAAGCAACACTAAATCAGAGCAAAATCTCTAAGGCAAACACATGGAATTTTTTGCATTGTTAGCTGTTTTTAGATAAATTATATATCTCATCTTCAATATGACCAAATAAGTACTACTTATATGCAAAAAGAAGATCACATATGTGCCCATAAATTAACATTCACAGGAAGCTTCTGGTTTTATTTACCTCCCTTAGATTTCAAATATATCAAATGTACTGATTCCTGGGAAACATCAATAAATGTCAAAACCAGAAACATCTCAATGTGCTTGAAAATAAACAAATAAACTCATAAGTGCATTCTTGAATGATAATAATTTAATAAAATATCATATTTTTAGCTAAATACTGAATATTAATGTTGCCTATTAAACATCTATACTTTTAAGACATCCCCAATACAGATAACAATGTAACTTTTTAAAATCTAGTGGTCACCATAGGTATGTATACACATACACAAAGTGAGACAGCCAGGTGGGAGAGGGTCCCCAGAAAAACTCCAACCAGCCTGCACACTGGGAGGAATGTGAACTGGGGTGGAGCTACAAATGCTTGCACCATTTGCAGTGTGAGGAGCCCCGCCCCTCCTTTTCCTGGGCGGAACCTGGGATTCAAACTGTGAGGCAGGAAGCATTCTAGCAGGAATGCTGGCCTTGCGGAGAGTCCCTATTCCCCCCTTTTTTTTCCTCTTTTCACCCAGTAAAATCTGCTTTACTCACCCTTCAAACTGTCTGTGAACCTAAACTTTTGTGGCTGTGGAACAAGGACCCTGTCTTTAGTTGAACCAAGAAAAAGTCCTGCAACATTTTTGGCTCCCAACGTGGGGCTCAAGAAGTGGTGAGTGAAATGGGGACTCAAAACGTCTCATAGTGGCTTTTAAGCTGTTCATTCTCAGACTTCTGAGGTTAGGTGAAACGCGCCCTAAACCCCCATTGCTCCCTGGGGTCAGGGGCCTTTCCATGGCCCTTTTCTTACTTTTTTGACATGAGTGGTGCTCTTCACTCCCACTCCCCTCCATGCCAGGGCTAGGATGCATGGTCCAAGGGTCCCACACAGCCAGCTGGCTGGTTCCCAGCCACCTGCCACTGCAGCCTTCCCTTTGCCTGGCCAAGGGGTTTAACTCTATTGAACAGTAGTTAAACTACTCTCCCTGGTGGAGGAACTACTTGCATAAGAATAAGAGGTTCTTCCCCAGGAATTTTAAAACTTTCTTTTCTTCCTCTTTTCCACCCCATCAGCAGTTAACCTTTAAAATTTCTTTTTTCCCCCTTTTAGAAGACACTTTACTAGGCCAGGCCCCCAAACTATCACTGTTTATATTCTCTGTAAAGCTTTTAACTGTGAAAAAGAATTTGTGAGGCTGCTCTTAAACCATAGCCAATCTGGTGTGCTTCCCATATCCTTATGGTTTGTAGCAAACTTAACTTGCAAGCCTCCATCTTGTTTTACATCCTGGGGGCATGGCTTGTAATTCCAGTGGCAAGGCTTTGTTCAGCAATCCTTCCTTAGGGAATAAGTTTCTTTCTGTTTTGATATCTGCATGTTTTCCTAACCCTGTCTCTTAAAGAACTCCACTCGGGGACTGGGTTTTCTCCTGCCTGTCTTTGTAGTTATATTTGTGTGTGTGTATGTGACGTCTGTAAAAAGAGCTCTAATTAATTTGGTGTAAAGACAGACAAGTGAGTGCTTAGATAAAATATTTTTTAAAGGGAAGAATAAAGCTGTAGTACCTTTCAGTTCACTTGACTTTAATATTTGAGAAATAAAAAACAACCTTAAAGATTATTGGTATAATGCAGGTATCATTAAAATATAAATAGGTGAACTAAATTATGCTGGTCAGTTGCAAGGTTTGGTAAATGTTTTAAGGTTATAAACTGCTTTTGGGGTTTTGAGAACAATTTGATTTGCCAGCTTCACAATGGGTAAGACCTAGGGACATATGGTACTAACCACCCCCTTAATTAAGAAGGCAAACCTTGGCTGCACTTAGCACACAATTAAAACAACTTACCAGGCTTTACTTTAAAGTCAATAATTGCTAGGATTTATCATGACATGTAACTGAAACTACTGGAAATAAATGATGTTCAGTCTTCCTTAGGTTATATTTTTGTGAATAATGCTAATATATATTCCAAAGTCGTATGGGAGTTCTAAAATTCTCATGTCTAAGTATATGCTATTAATCATAATTAATATTGCTATGTTAAGTTATTGTAAACCACGGAGATAACCAAACTTCTTTGTCAGTTATGTTTCTAACTGTAACTACCCTGGACGTTTTGTTACTCACAGAAAATAGTTGTCTTGTTTTAATTCTTTTCAAAAATGGTTTATAATAAGCTATAGGACTCTTACAGGTGATCACAAATACAATTTCTGCTTGTACTGGAGACAATCGAGCTTCTGATAACTTTGGAGATTTTGACATTAGAATAAAGGAAAATGTACAGGACTCATCAAATCTGAAATGTTCACAAGTATCAAGCAAAACAAAAGTTAATGAAATGGACTTAACTCAGAAAGCCGAAGCAACCTTTTTGACTTTTGATTGGAATATTGCTGATCCTTGATTTGTTTTTCAGAGTCAAGGAAACTTATTTTGAGTTATTTATAGGCTTTAATAATTGAGTAAAGTATACGCCCATGAAAAAAATTGGAGCATGTTTGTTTCTGTCTGTCTGGTTCCTCTAGAATTTGGAAACTATCTGTGAGTATTCTTATGGCAATATAGTTGTTTGCATCAGTGCAATAAGAATCTATTTTTATTTTGCAACAGGACACTATTGGAGAAAGTGGTTATGTTACCAAGGCTTTGACTGGAAGGGTATGCTTCCCTTTAAGGAGTCATTCTCGATTTGCAGAGCCAATAAAAGCCCCATGGGAGAAACTGGCCTCATACCCTCATATATGCAGTCCCTGCACAGGGTTCCTGACCTGTGGTCAGTAAAGAGTGTCACTTTCTAACAGGTCCAGGAGCTCAGAGTTTATCTTGAGACCTTAAGAGGAGAGAATCACCCAATTTGCAGATATTTGAGGATGGAAACCCATGGCTGGACTCAGACTTAAAAGATCTTATCTGAGATTCCTTGTGGAACAAACTTCCATCAAAGCAAATCCAAAGGGCCTGTGTAGAAATAATTATTCTTGCTGCACTTTATGCAAATAATCAGGCCAAGTGTAAGACTAAAGTCTATTTTGCAAACCATTTAGTCCTATAATATTTTTTTTTAACAAAAATGAGAACTGGTGAGAAAGAAATCTTGTTTCAAAACTTATCATATATTTGTCATTAAATTCGAAACTCACTCGTTGTTTTCAAGTTTTTGCCTACATTTTAGACTAACCCTGCTTGTTCCTGTAAAGCAACCAGCATCTCTGGCTGCAGCTCAGAAAGAACAAAAGGGATGGATAATGTAGCAGATCAACATTCTGGTTCAAAGCAATTATCCTGCAAATTCTGCCAGGTGCTGGGAATAAACAGGGTGCCCATGATCTGGAGGTTTCCTTTTTGGGAAAGTAAGACCAAGGGAGCTAACCAAAGCCAAGCCCCATGCACCCAAATCCTAGCAAGCATAACTATAGCCACGAGTTATCTGGGTGTGTCAAAAGACATCCTTTTCTCTCCCTTGATGGAGGAGGACTCAATTCCACAGCTTCACCTTAGCATTCAGCTTATGATAAGGAGTCCACGACACCCCCCAGTGCCACAGTTTCTTCCCAAACTCAATTCCAAGCTTCAGGTTGAAGCCCTAGGAAAGAAAACTAGATCTAAGGGACCTAGAAGCAGACAACAGAGTTTAAAAGGCATAGTGCAGGTAAGCATGGCTGATTCCTGCCGATTAAGCCGAGTCTAAGCTTCCTGTTTCAAGGATAAAGGCCGTGTTAGTATCCATGGCATAAATGAAATGTATGGAATTCAAGGCTACTGACAGCAGGGGAGGTAGGACATACGTGGGTAACAGCAGATGATTTTCACCTCCTAGGTCCCCCTGCTTCATGAGTGCAAGCTGCTTTGACACTCATGACGGCACCTGCCAAGGTCGCCGGGACTTGGGGATGAGAGGATGGAAGAAGGAAAGAGAATGTTCTTCCTGCTTTCCCTCACATATCCTGGATATCTGCTAGGAAGAGAAGGGAACCAGGGATGCCTGCTCTTGTCTTTCTTTATGAGTAGCCATTCATCTTCAGTCTGTACCCCTTTCAAATGCATCCTGAACTCCTGGGACTCCTTTGAAATACGCCCTCTTCGTTCCTTTCTCCTCCTCGGTTCTCTCTTCACAGAAAGGTAACTGTCTTCATAGTACAGGACACTCCCATCAGATGCATCCTCGAAACTTGAAAGAGTTAATTTCCCAAACTTTAAACTGGTTGGCTTAGTATTGCATTCAGGGGAAGGGAACCCAAAAACCCAACATGCCAGCAAAAGGGTAAACATTTATAAGTTGGGCTTTTGGCCTCCCTCGCCCCATGCAAATTGGTAAAAGGCCTCAGAATTTTAGAGCTGTCCTTACCCCTCCCTTTGTTTTGTATTGATACATGTTTTCTAATAACCCAGTTTGTCTGTTCTTGCCTTCAGGCCATCAAACTTCAAATGATCACGCAACCGAAGCCTCTGATGATGGCCCCTTCTGCTGGGAGCCCGTAAATAAGCCTCTGAGAGAGCTCTGACTGCTGTTTACCCCAAAACATCACCCTCTGTCAGCAGGAAGCAGTTAAAACAGTCTTCATCCTTATCCTTATTCTAAGAGCAGTTAGATGTGCCTCTTTAGAAGGGGGCGATAAACAACCAGCTGGGACGAGGTCCCCGGAAAAACTCCAACCAGCCTGCACACTGGGAGGAATGTGCACTGGGGTGGAGGCACAGAGGTTCACACCATTTGCAGTGGTGAGGAGCCTGGCACCTCCACTTCCTGGGCGGAACCTGGGATTCAAACTGCGAGGTGGGAAGCAGGAATTCTAGCCTTGTGGAGAGTCCCTGTTTCCCCATTTTTTTCTTTTCACCCAATAAAACCCTGCTTTACTCACACTTTAAGCCATCTGTGAGATTAAACTTTCATGGCCCTGGGACAAGAAGCCTGTCTTTAGCTGAACTAAGGAAAAGTCCTGCAACAAAAGCACCCTGCAGACTCATAAGTGTATTATAGCTTAATAGAGTAATTATATTCTTGAGCAAGTGTTACCTAGGAAGGATTATGTGTGACACTGCCCTTACTAAGGCCATAGGATTCTGGAAAAAGTTACCTATGGAGAATTACTATCAAATGGGATAATATCTCTACCTCAATTGTGCCATCTGAGTTTTGAGAAGAAACATAATAAAATATTAGATCAATTCATTTAGATGGTTAAGCAGAATTCACTCATGTTAGAATAATGATACCTGACAGAGATTCAGTTCATATTGGAAAGCTTTCCCAGTATTCTTTCATTTGTAATATATTTAAAAATCCTAGTAATCGCCTATGCATTGTGTACCTGCTTTAATTAACTATTGATAACTTCATTTAGCAAGCATTTATTGACAACATTTTGTGTCCCAGTCATTCTGTAAAATGATCATTATTCAGACGCTACACTTAGTTTCAAGGATCTCACCGTTAGTGACAGTTTCCTTCATTCAGAGTTGATAGAGTTCAGAGATTGACAGTACTGATTGGAATAACCCTTTTAAATGTTAACAGTTGATTGGCAATAAGAGGCAAACGGTTAGGTTTTAGAAATGACACTTTCTTACAATTAAGGTTTGCAAATTAATTATTAGTTAATTTCTTGTGATTAGTACTGTATGTTTCCTAAAAGGATTAACACGTAAAGAATCAGTAGCAAGGGTCTTAATAATAATGGGATATTATATTGTAGCATCTACCTGCTCACTCTCATTTCTCAGAATAAATACCTCAGAATAAATTTTAAAATACCTCAGAATAAAAAACAATATGCTCTCTATAACTGCTTATTGGATTGAAAGTGATCTGCAAATCTCTACTTCTAGTGATATATATAGTATTACCTATGTATATAATAGCTATCATTTATTGCATTCTTTTATATTACCTCATAGATACATGTATATTACATATATTTTTAATTCTGACAATAGTGATATATATAGTAATACCTATGTTTACATTACAATAGCTATCATCACATTCTGTTTTATTGCCTCATATATACATATATATTCCATATATTTTCTTTTTTTTCCACTTTTTTTATTATACTTTAAGTTCTACGGTACATGTGCACAACCTGCAGGTTTGTTACATATGTATACATGTGCCATGTTGGTGTGCTGCACCCATTAACTCGTCATTTACATTAGGTATATCTCCTAATGCTATCCCTCCCCCCTCCTTCCACCCCACAACAGGCCCTGGTGTGTGATGTTCCCCTTCCTGTGTCCAAGTGTTCTCATTGTTCAATTCCCACCTATGAGTGAGAACATGCGGTGTTTGGTTTTTTGTCCTTGAGATAGTTTGCTGAGAATGATGGTTTCCAGCTTCATCCATGTCCCTACAAAGGACATGAACTCATCCTTTTTTATGGCTGCACAGTATTTCATGGTGTATATGTGCCACATTTTCTTAATCCAGTCTATCATTGTTGGACATTTGGGTTGGTTCCAAGTGTTTGCTATTGTGAATAGTGCCACAATAAACATATGTGTGCATGTCTTTACAGCAGCATGATTTATAATCCTTTGGGTATATACCCAGTAATGGGATGGCTGGGTCAAATGGTATTTCTAGTTCTAGATCCCTGAGGAATCGCCGCACTGTCTTCCACAATGGTTGAACTAGTTTACAGTCCCACCAACAGTGTAGAAGTGTTCCTATTTCTCCACATCCTCTCCAGCACCTGTTGTTTCCTGACTTTTTAATGATCGCCATTCTAACTGGTGTGAGATGGTATCTCATTGTGGTTTTGATTTGCATTTCTCTGATGGCCAGTGATGATGAGCATTTTTTCATGTGTCTTTTGGCTGCCTAAATGTCTTCTTTTGAGAAGTGTCTGTTCATATCCTTCGCCCACTTTTTGATGGGGTTGTTTGTTATTTTCTTGTAAATTTGTTTGAGTTCTTTGTAGATTCTGGATATTAGCACTTTGTCAGATGAGTAGGTTGCAAAAATTTTCTCCCATTCTGTAGGCTGCCTGTTCACTCTGATGGTAGTTTCTTTTGCTGTGCAGAAGCTCTTTATTTTTTTTAGATCCCATTTGTCAATTCTGGTTTTTGTTGCCATTGCTTTTGGTGTTTTAGTCATGAAATCCTTGCCCATGCCTATGTCCTGAATGGTATTGCCTGGTTTTCTTCTAGGGTTTTTATGGTTTTAGGTCTAACATAAACAGAACCGAAGACAAAAACCATATAGTTATCTCAATAGATGCAGAAAAGGCCTTTGACAAAATTCAACAGTGCTTCATGCTAAAAACTCTCAATAAAGTAGGTATTGATGAGATGTATATCAAAATAATAAGAGCTATTTATGACAAACCCACAGTCAATATCATACTGAATGGGCAAAAACTGGAAGCATTCCCTTGAAAACTGGCACAAGACAGGGATGCCCTCTCTCACCACTCCTATTCAACATAGTGTTGGAAGTTCTGGCAAGGGCAATCAGGCAGGAGAAAGAAATAAAGGGTATTCAATTAGGAAAAGAGGAAGTCAAATTGTCCCTGTTTGCAGATGACATGATTGTATATTTAGAAAACATATGTTTTCAATTCTGACAACAATAATAAAAAGTGGACATAAATACTTCTGCCATTTAATATTTAAGGAAATCGAAGCAAGCAGGTTAACAATTTGCCTCAGTTCTCACTTTTATCTAGTAAGTAGGGGAGTCAGTATCCCAATATTGGCAGTCTGACTCCAATAACATTTGTAATATTGTTGCTGTTTTTAAAGATGTGTAATTATGTATATTTTTGTATACTTATATAGTATTATGTGTACTGTATTTAACCGTTATCCATCTATGTATATGTTTCTGTTCTTGTTTTGTATGTTTGCTCTTGGTAAAGAGGCAATAGCATGTTGAATAGGAGAGTGCAATGGTTTGCAAGTTAATTTTAAAAAAGGAAAGTTATGGAAGTATTTCCTAATATATTTATAAATTCCAGTTTAGCACAATAAGAAAATCTACTAAATAAATGGCAGTATATATTTGCATATACATCCATACTTTACTTCTTGGAATGCTAAAACAAAAAGCATTATTATACTGTATGTATATGTAAAACAATTTCATCATTGCATTCATTTAGATTCCCCAAATCTTTATGCTATGATATTATATATGTAGTCTGTCAGTAAAATCAATGAGATTGGTGTTTACTTAGTGTCTTAAGATTCATTTTGTAACTTCCTATGTTGGCTTATGATTCTGTTTTTAATATCATACTAAATTTTTTTCTTCAGAATGCTAAGCCATACCAATATTGTTCATTAGATCCTCAGGAGACTATTCAAGCTTTCATAATATGGTCAAATGATAAGGTAGCATGTGATTTAATGTAAGCAAGTATATTGAATTTGAAAACAGTCATTTGAATTTGGAAAGATAGACTATGCTAACGAATACAAACTGTGTATATTTTAGATATTTTCCAGTACTGAAATTAATACATTTTGCCAAAGAAAGCGATTCTTGTCAAAATATATCACTTTTATTTCCATCTATTTTTTTTGAAAGTCTCAATTATATTTAGTTCAAGCGATTTACCCATAAGATGTATCTTGTTTTAACTCTAAAGCTTTCAAGACTGGAGAGTAATTTGATATGATCCAATCCCTTTAATGTTTGAAGATTTTTACTTTAACCTTTAAAATGTTGTTATAATTTATGCATTACTGCATCTTTGCAAAGGTTAAAAGCAAGGCACAATCATACATGGTACCAAGAGAATAGCCTACATTTCCTGCTATTATCCCCATCTTCAAAATAGATTGGTCTCATACATTTCAATAGAATTTAATTATATTTCTCTAATTCCCTGAATGTTTTTATTAAACCAAGAAGTTCAGAAGTTAATGGTTCCATTTTATCTTGCTGCGTTTGAATTTTAAGAATATAATGATAACAAGGAACGTAAATTTCTACATATAACCACATTTCTTCTTTCAATTTGACTATAAAACAGCACATAGGCTAGCATTTAATGCGAAATATGATATGTTTCACTTTTGGTGTTGCTTTCTTAGGAAATGTAAAATTTGTGATAGAGACATCAGCAATAATTTTTATATACTCTGCTTCAAAATTCAATTTTATTGTGGTTTGAAAATTATCTACATCAACTCTTCCAGGTTTATATATATATGTATATATGTATTCTAATTTCACATATTATATTTGTCCCTTTTAAATGAGTATATAACTGGCCTTTATAATAGTGTTGTCATAATTTTTGAAGTATGTATTTTCTATATGTTTAAATTACTGTGTGATGTTTGACTTGTATAATCCATAAGGCCCTGTATGCTCATAATTTTTAATTGATAATCATTTCTGGTACCATAGACTCACCTTTCAAACACTTGAAAACAGATGATGCTAGGCTTTACAACATTCACTAATTGATTTTCTAGGTCAAAAGAGGTTAGAGCCAAATCTTTAGTACATATACTAATTCATTTTCAGCAGTAAGCTTGAAGCAGTATGCCTAGTAAAAGAGCTACACATGCAGCACAGAAGTGATTGAAGACTTTGTTTGAAGAATAATACAAAGAAAACATGGCTGAAACAAAGAAAAATAAGAGGAAACTATGGTCTTTTAATGCACCGGGCTCTCTTTTTATTCTTGACACTGGTACATGTTGTTTATTTTGTCTGAAATAGTCTTCTCACATAATATTATCTACTTTGCTTCTAGTGATTCTTAAATTCTCATCTCAGATGCCGTTTATTCTGAAAAGCTTTCTTTTATTCTCCATGTTAAGTTTTTTCTTATTCTATGTTCTTTAAGTTTTTGTCTCCCATAAAAGATTATTGCATATTTATCTTTTCACCTGTATGGCCACTCTCTAGACAAAAAGTATATGAAAGAAATCAGACACTACCTGCCTATTTTTTTGGTCATGTACCCACTTTGTGCTCCAGAAATTGTGTAATGGATGGATGGATGGAAGGATGGCTGGGTGGATAGATGGGTGATGGATGGATAGATGGATGGAGGAATGAATGGGATGCATGGATAGAGGATTCGATGGATTCATAGATGTATGTATGCTTAGGTAGGTAAATGAATTGGTACCTATATACCTTCTTTATCCTATTTTACCCTCTCAGAAGTCATTATCTTATGAAAGCATCAGGCTTTCTCCAGAAAATGTCTCACATGCATGTTTGATCAGTATTTCTTTCTGTTATATAAAGCTTTGTCTTCTATTCCCATTGTAAATAGACATGCTTAGGAAAATAATACTTTGGAAATGTTGACATATCCCATAAAAATAATCTGAGTAGGCAAATCCCAGTTATCTTTATTGAAACTTGTTTATATGCAGTAGATGCCAAAAACCCATATTTCTTTCAGAATACAAAAGATAACATGTGAAAAGCACTTGACAACTAGCATTTGTTGGCTTTCTTTTGTTAATAAAAAAAGTGGATTTCAATTTACATACGGCAATGGACTCACAATATTAACAATGAGAATAGGAATAATAATTATTCAATGTGAGATAAACTGGGCGAAATGTTTTACATACATTTTAACCCTAACTGACTTCTGTCTGAGAGATACTGATTTATTCTAATTGCAGATCTAATATATTTAGTTTTGTTCACTCCTTCTTCAGAGAACAGAAGTGATAATTCTTCATAGATATGCCCCATTGTATAATCATGTATAATTCTGTGATATATAATTCCAAGGCTTCTAAGAGCATGTTTTTAAACCTAAATTCAAGTATAAGACTAATGAAGTATAAGACTTGAATTTTAAGGCTCCTTTTAACATTTTTCTCAATTTTTTTCTTATAAGGTCTGTTTTGTCTTAAAATTTCTAATGATGTGCACCACAAGTTTCTAACAGTGAGTCCAAAGTTATTATAAATTTGTGAAGAAAACATGTCTATGAAAGAATATATTCATTTAAAATACATCTCAAGAGAGGGAGAAGCAAGAATTCTGCAAAAAATGGAATTTAATGAAGTCTCTAAAGAGATTATGATAATTCTTACAAAGTCTAAGAAATATGTTAGTACATGTGAAGTAAGATAAATGCTAATACAAATAAGCATATTTTCAATTAGAGGAGCATGCAGCTGCAGAAATTCAATAAGATGATATCAAATTTTTTAGTCTGCTTGTGACGAACTTTGTGTGTGCATGTGTATGATTTCCGTAAAAAGTAAGAACAAGAGTGTGCATCCTAGTGATAAAGAGAGAAGAAACTATGTAACTTCTCTAATGATCACTTCGTTGCTTTTGTCTAGTTTTAAAATATTTGTATCATTTATCTCAACTTTTTATGTGTCACAATATTTCTTCTTGAGAAGACATAAATCTGATTAAGATGATAAAAATTTTATATTTCTCAATTAAGTTATATAGAAGTCAACATAGGCCGGGCGCGGTGGCTCATGTCTGTAATCCCAGCACTTTGGAAGGCCGAGGAGGGCGGATCACAAGGTCAGGAGATCGAGACCACGGTGAAATCCCGTCTCTACTAAAAATACAAAAATAATTAGCTGGACGCAGTGGCGGGCGCCTGTAGTCCCAGCTACTCGGGAAGCTGAGGCAGGAGAATGGCGTGAACCCGGAAGGCGGAGCTTGCAGTGAGCCGAGATCGTACCACTGCGCTCCAGCCTGGGCGACAGAGCGAGACTCCGTCTCAAAAAAAAAAAAAAAAAAAAAAAGAAAAAAAAGACGTCAACATAAAAAATAAAATCTTAATAGAAAAAAAGTATGTAGCTTAGATCTCTAGGTGAAAAGAAAAATAAGACGTACTGCTAAATTCTTCAAAAGATGAATATCCTTAGTTTTGCTGGTTATTTTTTAGATAATAGAAATGAAGCCCATACTCTCCACTTTGGTCTGTTTTTCCTTTTTTGCTCTCCCATCAATGTGTATCCACTGGAGTTGTAATTTTACCTGAACAGACTGGCCAGTTAGTAAAAGAGCCTACATGTTAGCCTGACACTAGAATTGGCCATCCCGGGTCTTTTGAATGTAAAATGTGAAAATGCATGGTAGCACAGTATAAATAAACAAGAAAAAAGTGTCTTAAATTATTATAGATAGCCACTCACATGGATAATATGCATGCACGCACACACTCACGCCCCTATGAACATTTTTTCAAGTTTGGTATTCATATGCATTCAGGCATCTTTCTTTAAATTACTTGAGAGAGAGAGAGATATGAGATAAACAGAGATAAAAGGAGAGGGGAGTGAATGAATATCTAATAGATGACTCTTTAAAAGGAGCTTGTTACTTGGTACTTGGATATTTCTCTCATTTATTACTTACCTATTATTTACATTTATAACCAGATTTTTCCATCTATGTCTTTATCTATAGAGAATGAAGGTTTTCAGGAATTAAAGAAATGACTGGAAATCTCAAATTGTCAGAGGAAAATAAAGAAATATAGTTAACTCATTAATATAAAGTGTGTGGTTTTAGGGTGCTGCTCCATATGCCGCTGGGTTTGCCACATAATATGCATTATATTAATCTTATTGTCTTTCCGAGTTTAGAAATACATATGGCCCTAAAGGTTTTGGATAGGATTTTTGACCTCTGTTTGCAAATCAGTCTCCATATTGACTGTACTAAAGTACACTTCAAACCAGCAGAGGAGTTTTTACATAGATACTGTCAGACCTTTTAATACTGCCAAGCAGATCCATGTGAAATGGCTTTCCACTGTTGTGTTACAGTAATCTTCCTTAATACTGAGGTAGCTGACACTTACTTATATATCTGTAGGCATTTAGTATTTATTCTACTTATAAATCAAATGCCTTTTCATAAAGTTTGCTCACTTTCCTTTGTTTTCCTTTTCTACTTAATATACAATATAGAAATTTTGTTTGTATTCGGAATATCACTCTTGTTATTCCATGTGCTAATTTTTTTTACTTTTGTCTATATTTTTATTTGATGTCAGGATTTATCAAACTTTTTTGATCCCTGTACCTTTCACTAGATCTTTAATCTACCTGAAATGGATTTATTATTCATTTACTATTTACTAAACTTATATTTACTAAGCACTTCTCTGTTAATTTATTTTATATTAGAAGTAGTATGAATCTGATTTTTTATTTAAAAACTCAGATTTATTTTGTAATTAACCAAGTAGCTCTTCAACCATGTCTTGTCTGTATTTTGTCATATTCTAGAATTCTAAAATTGTGACTACCTCTCTGTTTTTTCTGTATTTTTATTTTTATTTTATTTTATTTTTCAGACAGAATCTCTGTTGCCTAGGCTGGAATGCAGTGGCACGATCTCTGTCCACTGCAACCTCTGCCTTCTGGGTTCAAGCGATTCTCCTGCCTCAGCCTCCCAAGTAGCTGGGACTACAGGCGCCCGCCACCATGCCTGGCTAATTTTTGTATTTTTAGTAGAGACAGGGTTTCACTGTGTTGGCCAGGCTCGTCTCCAACTCCTGACCTCAAGTGATCCACCTGCCTCGGCCTCCCAAAGTGCTGAGATTATAGGCATGAGCCACCATGCCTGGCCAGTTTTCTCTATATTTTAATTTCTGAATATCTAATGTACTAATGTCTCATGTACAACTGTTCTCATTTCATTTATCTGTTATAATATCTAACATTTAATATTCTATTTTTATGGAACATATTTCTTCATAAATATTTGAAGTAAATTAATATTATAATTGATGTTTTTGCCTTTCCTAATATTCTATTTGTCTGCAAGTTTTAGAATTTTGACTAAGGATTGCTTATGTTCTTTGATAATGTGTTGTTTTGTTTTCCCCTTTCCCTTTGTGGTCTTCATTCCGTGTTGGTTGTTTTGCCTTTGCTTCCATCCAGCCCCTGGCACTCCCATCAACCTAAAGTTCTTAGATTGTATTCTAGGCTTCTATGGTGATAACAAGGATCTTATAGATCCATCCAACAGATGAAATGGTCAAGCTCCTGATGATGAGGTAAGGTATTTTGTTAGGCCTGCAGCCTCATATACACAGTAGATTTGGTGGTGGTCGACAGAGGGATTTTTTGGGGGGTTTTCAACATATTTTCAAAATCAAATAATCTCAATTTAGACATACATGCATGCAATGAGCCTTGCTACTGACTTATTTTGAAACCACATTTAGTACTGCGGTATCATATTTGTTGCTACCAACATGTGCAGCACCAGAAAGCATAATGCTTCAACCCCACCCTTCAACTTTTCCCTTTTATCTTGTTTTTGGACCTAAATTTGTTTTCGTTTTTTTCTTTTATACATATTATAGAATAACATCCTAATCAGTCAGTATTTTGCAGTACTAAACTGGCCTATGGAATTTTCCACAATGTTTTTCAGCTCCTGGCCCATATACATTTTTAAATACAGGGCCTGACAAGAGTAATGTAAAGTTGATTATTTGTTAAAAGTATACAGACCGGGGGTGGTGGGTCATGCCTGTAATCCCAGCACTTTGGGAGGCCGAGGTGGGCAGATTGCTTGAGGTCAGGAGTTTGAGACCAGCCTAGCCAACACGGCAAAACCCTATCTCTCCAAAAAATACAAAAAACTAGCCGGGCATGGTGGTGCACATCTGTAATCCCAGCTACTCGGGAGGCTGAGGCACAAGAATCACTTAAGACCAGGAGGTGGAGGTTGCTGTGAGCTGAGGTTGTACCACTGCACTCCAGCCTGGGCAACAGAGCGAGGCTCTGTCTCAAAAAAAAAAAAGTATATAGATGATGTTTAAAATTTCCATTCAAATATGAGTTTCTAAAGACCAGAAAAAAAATGCAATCATCTGTTGTTCCAGAAATGAACTAACACCCCTTTCCATATGAACTGTGCCACAGCAGTTGTTTTACTTCAAATCAAATCAGATTATATAGGCTTAATAGAACATAACACATAAGGATACCTGTGGAATTGTTTATTTATAAGTCACATCACTAGTGTCTTACTGCATGCATTTTAATATTAAACTTATGTTCAAGTTTACATCATGTGGTTTCTTTAGTAGCAGTGACATATAAGAATACAAAATGTGTTTTAACTTACAGGTAGGTTAAATAACTATAAATGTACTGACAGGAACAGAGATGTTAATACGGACATGGAAAAGCACAATTGGAAATATGTAACAATCTAAAATTATTTATTACAGATAATCAAGTGAAATAGAAACTATATTAAACTTAATATCACTCTGTATGTATGGAGTTGTATCTACAATTACAGATAATAATTATATAGTTTTAAACCATGCAGATTACTCAGCCATAAATTATTATTAACAAAATATATGCAAGAATCCAAGTGTTACGATATTAAAAGGCAGAAATAAGGATGACTCAACTTGATTGTTTCTGTTTATTTGGTATTTAATATATATGATGGAGTTCATGATTGATAAAATGATTGGCAAAGAGTTATCTAAGAGATGAATTACATCTCAATTTTCTGTTCCTACCACACCTGGTCATTTTGCCTTAGACCTGGTAGTATTTGTCTTTGTTCCATTTTTTAAATATATTTTCTATATTAAATAATGAACCTGGCCTTTTAATTGCTAAAATTTGTTTTAGCCAGAAAGACATGGGACCCCTTGCTTTACCAGAACTTTGCCATCTCTATTTTTATAGAGGTAATGACCTATTTGCTCAGCACAATGTAATTTCTGACCTAATCAAACACTGTGACTAGGCATAAAATAAACCAATTAGCAAACAAAATGGAGTTAAATTTTCTATTGAAAAAAATTAGGATATTTACTTTTAAATCATAATTTTAATAATTTGTCATTATCAAAATTTGACTTTTGCAAATTTTTAAAAATAAACACTATTACTTTTAACATTTTGATAAAACTGACTGATTATTTAACTGAATTGATAATCCACTTTTAGCCAAATTGTTGAAAGGTTATTAAATTTTGATACAGTCATCCTGTGTGTTCTATCATAATTGTAGCTTTGTCAATGTGAGAACATTGGATTTACAAAATACTTCAGTAATTTTACCCTGTTACCCATAATGCAAACTCAATGTGAGTTAATGACAATAACAGATAGCAGGTAAAGGTGAACTGCAAAGTACAAAAGATTTACAGTTGTCCCTTGAATAACTTGGGTGTGAACTGCATGGGTCCACTTATACGTGAATTTTCTTCTGCCTCTGCCATGCTTGAGACACTAAGACCAACTCTTCCACTTCTTCCTCCTCTTTGGCCTATTCAATATGACAATAATGAGGGTAAACACCTTTATGATAATCCACTTTCATTTAATGAATAGTAAATATATTTTCTCTTCTTTATGATTTTCTTAGTGACTTCTTTTTTCTCTAACTAACTTTATTGTCAGAATATAGTATATGATATATATAGCATACAAAATATGTGTTAACTGACTGTTTATGTTGCAAGGCTTGCAGTCAACAGTAGACTATTAATAGTTGGATTTTTGGAGAATTACAAGTTATACATGGATTTATGACTGTATGAGGATTGGCACCCCTAGCGCGCAATTTTTTCAAGTGTCAATGGTACTTTGAGTTTGCTGAGAGTTATTAGTTATTAGAATCAGAATGATAAAGTAAGAAAATCTTTTTGTCCAGTTCTTTTTATTTTATTTAGTCTCTCAATCTCCCTGTTGTTAACATAGTCTGACTAAAAGGAAATGTAAAAAGAAAAAGAAAACCCTATTACATTTATTCATTCTATGTGAAAAGTATCACAATCCTGCCTTACCAAATAATGGAAATATGTTCTGAGATATATGTCATTAGAGGATTTTGTTGTGTGCAAACACAAACCTAAATGGTATAGGCTACTGCACACCTAGGCTATATCGTATAATCGATTGCTTCTAGGCTACAAACCTATACAGCATGTTACTGTACTGAATACTGTAGACAATTGTATCACAATGGTAATATATGTGTATCTAAACATAGAAAAGGTACAGTAAAAATACACCATAAAATATTATAAATGGCACACCTAGTATTGGGCAGCTCCATTATAATCTCATAGCCTCAGTGTTGTATGTGTGGTTCCTTTTTGACCAAAACATCCTTATGAGGGATGTGACCGTATTGTATTTCCTTGTTTATATCCATCTTTTGATAATAATAAAGAAGGAAAGTATACTTATCAATGTTCAGCTTGCTTCCACTTGTCACCTTTCTTGATATTTTAATAATTATATATTTTTAAGTTTATTGAATAGGCTTTTCTAGAATGTATTAACTGAGACAGAAAATTATCTGTACTCACTTTTTAATAAATCTCATTAAGGTTACTAATGATCATTTAGTAACTATATCCTGAAAGTGTTTTCTGAAATTCTGTCCTATATCTGTGGCATTCTACTTTGATGACTCTTATGTTCTATTTACACCTCACAGTTCACGTAATATCCTTCCATCCTGCTATGTACTAGAAGAGGATAAACGATATGGACTCTTTTCTTGCCTTCTACCTTCCAATTAGGTTTAGTCAGTAGGGTGTGTGGGCAGAAGACTTGTGGGAGGGAGGAGAATGAGTCAGTCACAGAGACTCTGTCAGGTGGCCCCTCTCCAGTTTGCCCCTTAAGTCACAGGGTGTGTGCCTTAATGGTGACCCACACATCCTATTGGAGGGTACTACTGCACTATGCCTTCTATTTTTTTGCATATTGCCCACACCTTTGTGAACTACTGTTTTGCTAAATTACCTACAAATTATCAAATATTGTGTGCCTCTTGTTGCCTTCAGAATTGTGACTGACCATCCCTTACTTCTTGAGACTCCATTTTCTACTTTCTGCTTTAGTAGAATCCATTCCTACTTTGCTTTTGAGAAGTCTTCATGAAAGCAGTTCTTTTTCTGTATCCTATGCCTAGTGTTTTCTGGGTGTACCTTTTTAGATTTCTTCCCATTACTCTCCATTTGTTTACTACTATATGCAAATATACTACTTGCATGTACCTTTAGCTTGGATGCCATGCTTGAACTTCTGGCCCAAGGTGCTTATTAAATGATAACCCGTAAGTGTTCCCAAACTGACCACATCATCTTCTTTCTCATGTATTTATTTCCATGTTCATTAAATGATACTTCATCTGGCCAGTTGCTCGATATTAAAGCTGAGCTATCATTGGCTACTACCTCTGACTAATCCCCTACCTCCAGTCACTAAATTATGTCATTCTTATATCTTAAGATCTCTTTAATCCAATCCCTTCATTGTACTTCCATTATCATTAACTTAGTTCCTGCACAAATAATCTTTAAACAGAATTACTTCAGTAGCTTTCTTACTTTTATGATGTCCCATGTCTCAGGGCTTCACTCAGGCTGTTACCTCAACTCTTTAGTGGAAACAGTGATCTTCACTTGACAAACTTCTATATATGTGTTTAGTCTCAATGAAGCCACCACCATCCTCCTAAGACAGCTGCTCTTTGTCTTTCCGTTCTTGGTAACATGCTTAAATGTGCTTCTCTAGCATACTATTCATGTGTCTACTAAAAGATTTTTCACAGATGTTGATAAATGGCTCTTCATTTGCCTTTGAGACCATAGATATTGTCATATGTATATTTAACTACTAATATAGTACCTGCAACAATGTAAGCATCCATCCCATTTCATACAATATAAATAAGTTAAGGAAAAGAATGTGAGCCCTGCCCTTGAAAAACTTATTTTAGTAAATGTGCAGATACATTGTAATTGCTGAAGTTTTAAAAGCTACATTGAAGTTAACAGATTCCTACTGCAGGTGCAATGATGCCCCAGGATGCAGTGTTCCATACCATTTGGACTTGTTTTTAAACATGAAATTCAAAATAGAATGAGAGAACTTAAAATCATCTTGAGGTTATGTAAGTGAAAAATTTGATGATTAATAAAATGTTTACTTTAAAAATTTTTCTTTTTTTAATGAATACCCTACTCTAAAGAGTTGTATAATGAGAGAAGTTGCAGGAACAAGAGTTTTAGATTGAAATAAAATTGTTCTTAATTTGATTTCTCTTCAAAGTTCCTCTTAATGGGGAAAGTCTGTATCCTTTGGAAAGATAGTCTAAATAAACTAGGGCTAGGATCAATTCTGCTTTCAGCCTGCAGTAAAACTGTCATAGACATTTACCAAATAAAATAAAATAATGATCAGCAGTGACTAGCAGGATCAGCAGCTCAGTCAGACTAATAATATTGAAGAGTCTTGCCAGCCTAAAGAAGCAGGCAACTTAATGATAATAATTAAAAGTTGCACTTGTTATTGTGTGTTGATTTTGTGTTTTCTCCTGAAGCTATAAATTGCAGAATTCAGACTTTTACGAATTTGTACATGAAACAAGGAACATAAGCTTAAATACTTCTCCTTGGAGATGAATCAATAATTACAGTTCTTTCTTTTAAGCTGATATTTTATACTCTCACAAAAAGGAGAGGCTGTATCAATACTTTAACTTTGGTGTAGTATTCATCCTTATTTAGGTACTTGTTTGTAAGTGTCCTCTGATGATAGTAAAAATATCTGTGATGTTTTTCAAATAGAGCTCCATAGTAAAAAATAACAGGCCATTAACAGTAACTTAATGAGGGTATTTCTGCTTCCTAAGCTTAGAATTTAATGGTCATTTAATTGTACATGCCTCATCTATCTAAAATAAGAAATACCACTAAATTTATGACGGGAAATACATCTTTCCCAATAGCCTTTAATCTAATTGCAGTCACAATTAAGAATTTGGATTTAAGTCTCCACATTTTTAATCTAATGTAATCATTAAATACAAATAATAGAATACCATACAATTTTAGAAATTCGATTTTAATTACTACATGATATCATAAAGTAAGCACATGCTTAATGTAACCCAGGGAAATATTTAGATGGTTTATCTCACTAATGATGTGTGTGTGTGTGTAATACCCAGTTTTAGATAAACGATGAAATTCGATAATTACATAATTTACTGGTCATTAGTTATTTTCATAATTTACTAAGCTGAATAATTTAGATCTTTTTAAGGTGAAATAACCTAGGTAGGCATAGTGACTCATATGACAAAGTCAAGGCGGAACCTTGAGGGTCACACAATCTTCACGTTTCCAACGAGAATACTCAGTTCTTCTCTTTCAACCAAACTATTTTTTCAGTTTCTGTAAATTAGCTCTGGAATTTTTAGGTACTCGGGTAGACCAAGCCTCACTTTATGTGTCTCAACAGCAAATCCTTCCACATTTTAATTCTATTCAAAGGAATGATTTGATTTCAAATAATTCAATCTGTTTACCGTTTAAAATTCCATGACAGAAATAAACTTGCAAACTAATCTTTGGTCTTACTCTTTATTCCCAAATGTCTACTTTAGTTATCTGACTAATATCCTAGACCCTTTCTGTAAAAATTGGATAGCTCTACTTTCATTATCTTCCATCCTGAAGAATGAGACTGATTCCACATCCCAATGCCTCAGAGTATGATGTATTGTACTGACACATCTACTGGATGCTTATCTGGATTTTAAGATGCTCTTCTTCCTACCACATTTTCGGATGCTCTTAATTTGGATTTTAAATCATATCTGGAGTTAAGATTTAACATGTTCAAAACTAATCCATTGCACTTTTGCCACCTTCAGAGCAAGGCCATTTCAGAAATGATACCTGCATACTAAAGCACAGACGCAACCAAATGCATGAGTCAGTGAATCCTGGTCTAATGCAGAGGTGGCAAGTAAAGGCTGGGTGCCACTGGTTCATGATATAATACAGAGAAAGCTGCAAGACTTGGACTTCAGTTCCCTAATAGTGACAGGTGAGGGACTGCCACTTCCTCAACCATGAATTCTGAAGTTGTAGAACAGGACTGGGTCCCATGTTTTTTTCCAAAATATCACAAGTTTACATTCTAATCCCTGGGCCAGGCATGGTGGCTCACGCCTATAATCCCAGCACTTTGGGAGGCTGAGGGGGGGCGGATCACCTGAGGTCAGGAGTTCAAGACCAGCCTGGCCAACACGGTGAAACCCCGTCTCTACTAAAAATACAAAAATTAGCCAGGTGTGCCTACTCAGGAGGCTGAGACAGGAGAATCGCTTGAACCTGGGAGATGGTGATTGCAGTGAGCCGAGATCGCGCCATTGCACTCCAGCCTGGGCGACAAGAGTGAAAGTCCAAAAAAAAAAAAAAAAAATTTGAATCCCCATTTATACCAGGCACAGAGATGATTCTCAATCAGTGTTTGCCAAATTAGTTGAGCAGAGCAGAAGGTGAGAGTCTACAGTGTCATATAATTTTAGCCTTTGGTAACCAAGTCTTGTATCCTATAAGCCTGGTGCTGTCCTAATCATGCGTACTGTAAGCTTTACAGCCTAAGGATGAGTTTCACTCTTTCAAAATCTGATGTCCAACCTGCAATTATCCTTGATTATTTCCTCAGTGTGTATTGAGGACAAACCAAGCACCTGCCACTGCTTTTCTCTCTGAAACATTTTCCCAACAAATGTTATTCCTGGCCTTCAGTGTGTGCCTTGTGGTCATTTGTCCTTTTTTGCTCCACAACCTCCTCCAACTATGGACATCTCGTCTGTGAGGGTCTGTACTTACCAGGGGATTATACATTGTCTTCTTTTGAATGAACTTGCAGTTGCATATTTATGAGTACATTTTACTTCGTATTCAGTAATTTCACTAAATTAATATTAATAACTGTTGTCTGTAATCTTTTTGGATTTTCAAAATACACAAAATGTCATATGTAAATATTGACAGGTTAATTTTTTCTCTTTCAATCATTATATCCATTCTTTGTTTTGGTTTTAACTTATTTAAGTATCCAGGACTTCCAATAGGATGGGAATAGAAATGGTGATAGTTTATTTCTCTGTTTCATTTCCAGTCTTAATGTGTAAACATTCCACCATTAAATAACTGTTGTAAGTTTTTCTGTGGATACTGATTATCATGTAAAAGAAACCCCATTATATTCCTAGTTTGTTAAGGTTTTTAAATGTGTGAGGTTTGTTTTGCTTAATCTGGAATGTGTGTTGAATTTTATGATATAATTAATAGGCTTTTAAAAATGATTGTGTGATTTTTCTCTTCATTTTCTTTTAATAAGCTACATTACATTGGTACTATAATGCTAAATGAGTCTTGCAACCCTTGGGTAAACTCAAACTGGCTTTGATGTATTATTATTTTTATACAAAATAGTATTCAATTTGGTAATTATTTTTTGGACTTTTATATATAAATTAGTGTAAGAGAATAGGCTTTTGCTTATTGAAATACTTTTTGAAGTATCAAGATATTTCATGCCTATTGAAATCTGTTGGGAAGTATTCCGAATTTTTCTATTTCTTGGTAGAGTTTATGTAGATTAATAACACTAGTGGGGTCTGGGCTGGGCGCGGTGGCTCACGCCTGCAATCCCAGAACTTTGGAAGGCCAAGGCGGGCGGATCACGAGGTCAGGAGACCGAGACCATCCTGGCTAACACGGTGAAACCCCGTCTCTATTAAAAATACAAAAAATTAGCCAGGCATGGTGGTGGGCGCCTGTAGTCCCAGCTACTCCGGAGGCTGAGGCAGGAGAATGGCGTGAACCCGGGAGGCGGAGCTTGCAGTGTGCCGAGATCGCGCCACTGCACTCCAGCCTGGGCAACAGAGCGAGACTCCGTCTCAAAAAATAAATAAATAAATAAATAAATAAAAGCACTAGTGGGGTCTGAACTATTTCGGGAGAAATTGTTTTAGAAAATGATTTTTTTAGCAAATACAAGAATATCTCACTTTTATTTCTTCTTAGGCCATTTTTGTAAGTTCTGTTACGGAAACGATTTGTTCATATCACTTAACAGGTGAAATTCCTATTAAATGCTGTTTCTAATATCCTTTCATCATCTTTTAATAACATTAATTTCTATAATAATATCCCTTTTTCTATTTCTGATATCGAAAGTTTTTATTTCTTTCCCTTCCTCTATTGAAAGTTTTTATTTCCTTATCTTCCTCTCACTTTAATTAGGCCTTAATAACTTTATTAATATTTCAAAGTAAACTTTGGCTTTGCTATTTTCTATTATTGCATATTTATCTGTGTTATAATTTTTGTTCTTACTTTTTAAAATTATTTTCTCCTTTCTATATTTATTTGAGTTTGATTGCTGTGATATAGTCAGCTTATAAAGATAGAAAATTCTGTTAGTAATTTTTATTTTTTCATCTAATCTAACAAATCTATTCAAACCTATACAGTTTCCTTGAAGTAAATTCCAATATGTTAAATGTTTTAGTTTTATGCAGCTCAAAATCCTTTCTAATTTCTGTTGTTATATCACATTTGACCCACAGATTATATTTTATAAAGTAATATAATTAATTTTTTTCAATTACTAGTTTAATTGCAACTTAGTTGAAAACATGTCCTGATTTTATAAATTATTGGAAATTAGATGAAACTTGCTTTATTAGGCAGCATAAGATCAGCTTTGGGAAAGTACTATCGATACTTTAAAAATAATATGTATGCTTTCTTTGTTGGTACAATTTTACCTTAGAAAACTGATTTTCTACTGATTTGTTTTTCTGGCCATTGCAAGTGGTATGTTGAAGTCTTCCACTATTGCTGTGGATTTGCCAAATTCTCTTTTAATTTTTGCCAACTGTTGCCTTATTCATTGTTATAAATTTGGTTCTCTATGATTCAGACTCTGAGACTAGGTTTAGGTGGAGGAGGTTGATTGAATTACACCCTTGGGACCAAAACCTGTGAAAAGGAGAGAAACAAAGCAAAGCTAGGCAGAAGAAGAATTTAAGCTGCAGTGTAAATTCAACAACGGCTTTAGCCAACCTCAGGGAAACTCAGGAGTAATAATAATCACTTAGAGTAGTCCTGAGTAGGGCCAAAATTGTTCATGTTCATTGACCAGTCATTGGATGTGGATAATCTGAGAAGGGTCATCTGCAAAAGAAGTAGATGTATGGGCTTGTAGTTGAAGATTCATTTGCAGAAATTGGGGTCAGAAAGTCCACATTTGCAGGAGGATCATAGTGGCATACCCCAGTGTCATCTTATATGTTTTGACTGATTCCGTATTGATTGGGTGCATACAAATTTAGACGTGTTATATCTTTATAGCAGATTGACCTCTCAAAAATATAAAACGTCACTTTTTGCCAAAAGTAATGCATCATCTCTTACAGCCTACTATACCTAATATTAATATAGCTACACCAACATTCTTTATCAAATATGGTTTATCTTGTTCCATCATTTTACTTCCAAATATTTTGTTTCCTTGTATTTAATGTCATCTTTTGGAAGCAACATTTTAAACCTCCAGTTTGCAATATTAATTTTTTATTGTAATTTCTAATTCACATTGTTGTAATGTGATTGGTGATACATTTGGTTTCATATCTACTTCTCACTATTTTCTGTCCATATGACATATCTATTTTATGTTCCTTTTGTTTCTCCTTGTTGGCCTCCTTTTAGATTGATCAAATACTTCATTTTAATTTATCATTTTACTTTAATATTAGATGTAAAAGTCTTTAAAATAAAATAATTTTATATATTTTTATTTGATAAATCATATAAAGATACATTCTTTACTTAGTACATTATAATATAAATATTAATTTTCTTTTTTCTAACAGTAATTCTTAAGGCACTATATATAGCTATTACCTCCCCCAGGTTTTAGCACCATTTTACATATATTTAACATGTTTTAAATCAACATATAATTTAACTTCCAAAATGCATTGCAATTATTTTTGTAAGTAAATATTTACATACATTTAGTGCCATATTCAATTTTCATTATTCCTCTTTCTTTCTGCATTACCATGATTCTACCTGGAATCCTTTTTATTGGAGAGGGCAGGGGTAAAGCACTCAATTTAATCTGTCTTAATTTGAGGCTATAAGCAATTTATTCCACAATGGTTTATCTGGAAATAGATTTATTTTGTCTTCTGATGTGAAGAATACTTAGTGTATTTAATTCTAGGCGAGAAGAACATGAGGTACAGCATTCCATTGTTTGTGTTTTCAATTTTGTCTTTGAAAATTCAGACGTCCTTATAGGGTTTTTATAGTTTTGGGTTTTACATTTAAGTCTTTAATCTACCTAGGCAGTACCATGGAGGACATAGGCACAGTCAAAGATTTCATGACAAAATCGCCAAGAGCAATTGCAACAAAAGCAAAAATTGACAAATGGGATCTAATTAAACTAAAGAGCTTCTGTGCAGCAAAAGAAACTATCATCAGAGCAAATAGGCAACCTACAGAGTGGAAGAAACTTCTTGTAATCTATCCATCTGACAAAGCTCTAATATCCAGAATCTATGAGGAACTTGAATTTACAAGAAAAAACAAACAACCCCGTTAAAGAGTGGGCAAAGGACATGAACAGACACTTCTCAAATGAAGACATTCATATGGCCAACAAACATATGAAAATAAGCTCAATATCACTGATCCTTAGAGAAATGCAAATCAAAACTACAATGAGATACCATCTCACGTCAGTCAGAGTAGCAATTATTAAAACGTCAAGAAACTACAGATGCTGGAGAAGTTGTGGAGAAATAGGAATGCTTTTGCACTGTTGGTGGGAATGTAAATTAGTTCAACCATTGTGGAAGAAGGTATGGCAATTCCTCAAAGATCTAGAACCAGAAATACTATTTGACCCAGCAATCCCATTACTGGGTATATACCCAAACGAATATAAATCATTCTATTACAAAGATACATGCACGCATATGTTCGTTGCAGCACTATTTATAGCAACAACATGGAATCAAGCCAAATGCCCATCAATAATAGACTGGATAAAAAAAATGTGGTATATATTCACCATGGAATATTATGCAGCCATAAAAAGGAATGAGATCATGCCATTTGCAGGGACACGGATGGAGCCAGAAGCCCTTATCCTCAGCAAATTAATGTAGGAACAGGAAACCAGTTACAACACGTTCTTACTTATAAGTGGGAGCTGAACAATGAGAACACTTGAACACAGGGAGGGGAACAACACACACTGGGGTCTGTCAGGGACTGGGGTGAAGGATAGCATGAGGAAAAATCGCTAATGTATGCTGGGCTTAATACCTAGTTGATGTTTGATAGGTGCAGCAAATCACCATGGCACATGTTTAGCTATGTAACAAAACTGCACATCCTGCACATGTACTCCGGAACTTGAAATAAAAATAAAACAAAAAAAATTTCAGATGGATGTCAGCCTTACTTTTGATCTTTTGAAATTAATGTCATTTTTTCAGCTCATTATTCTTTTTATTTATTTTATATTTTAGGGAAAACTATGGGAGTTCAGTCAGCGTTGTGGGAAAAATTATAGAAGAAAAACTATAAAGATAGTTATATGAAATAGACACAAACCTACCTTGAAGGCCGGGACGTTTGCATAGCGTCAGTAAAAGATTTGGCTGAAGGCAGCCTTATCCTCTTACCTTGAGTTAATAGGTTACAGTAGGCACAAAGGAATGTAAGGGAGTTTATCTAAATAGCTTATTTACTCATGTGGTCCTAAGACCAACCTTTGATCATTCACTGGCAGGATGGCTATCTCTTGGGGGAGGACAACGAGTTTAATTACCCACAGATGTGTTGACTCAAAGCCTTTGTCATTTAATCTGTACTAAATAAATGTGAACTTCGCTGGCTTACTGAGGCCTATGCTGCAAATTTAGGCAGCGGAGCCCCTTAGCCATGCTGACAGGCAGAATATCTGTCAGTGTATGTCTCTCATCTGTTGCTGGGTCAGGGTCTGAGGGACGGACCCCACAGAAAACAAAATACCTATTGCTTTATTCATAACTGAGACCCTGGAAAAATAACCAGTTAGTATGCTCAAGCAAGATATTGACAAAACTGAATATTCACTTGGTTCTTCTGAAAGTCAAAAAGTTTTATTACATTATAGGTCCAAACTTTTTTTTTTAAATTTTACTTAAGTTTCAGTGGTACATGTGGAGATTTGTAATATAGATAAATTGTGAATTATGGGAGTTTGGTATAAAGGTAATTTCACTGCTCAGGGAATAAGCATGGTACCCAACAGGTAGTTTTTGAATGCCCACCTTCCTCTCACCCTCCACTCTCAAGTAGACTCTGGAGTCTATTGTTCCCTTCCAAGTGTGCTCAATATTTCGCTTCCTTTTATAAATGAGAATATGCAATATTTGCTTTTCTATTCTTGCATTCATTTGTTTAGGTTTATGGCCTCCAGCTCCATCCATGTTCTGCAAAGGACATGATCTCATTCTTTTTTATGGCTGCATTTTATTCCATTAAATACATGTACCACATTTTCTTTATCCAGTCTGTCATTGAATGACATTTAGGTTGATTTTATGTCTCTGCTATTGTGAACAGCACTGTGAGGAACATAGTTGCATATGATTCTTTACGGTAAAACAACTTATATTCCTTTGGATATATACTCAATAATGGAATTGTTGGGTCTAATGGTAGTTCTATTTTAAGTTCTTTGAGAAGTTGCCAAACTGCTTTTCCAAGTTTTCCAAACAAATTTACATTCCTACCAACAATATGTAAGCATTCCCTTTTTTCTGCAATATTGCCAGCATCTATTATTTTCTGACTTTTTAATAATAGCCATTCTGACTGGTATGAGATGGTATCCCATTGTTATTTTGATTTGCATTTCTCTAATGATTAATTATATTGAGCTTTTTTTCATATATTTGTTGGCTGCGTGTATGTCTTCTGTTGGAAAGTGTCTGTTCATATCCTTTATAATTGTTTTTTGCTTGTAAATTTGTTTAAGTTACATACAGATTTTGGATATTAGGCCTTTGTCAGATGCACAGTTTGCAAATATTTTCTTCCTTTCTGCGGGCTGTCTGTTTACTCTGTTGATAGTTTCTTTTGCTATGCGGAAACCCTTTAATTTAATTAGGTCCATTTGTCAATTTTTGTTTTTGTTGCAACTGCTTTCGGCAACTTCATCAAGAAATCTTTGCCAAGACCTATGTCCAGAATGGCATTTCCTAGGTTTTCTTCAGGTATTTTTATAATTTTTGGTTTTACACTTAAGTCTTTAATCTATGTTGAGTTGATTTTTGTATATGATATTAAGAAGTTTTAATATTATTTACATCAGTTTCAATCATCTGCGTATGGCTAGCCTGTATTTCCAGCACCATTTACTGAATTTGAGTCCTTTCCCGTTGCTTGTTTTGGTAGAGTTTGTCAAAGAGCAGACAATTATTAGTGTGCGGCTTTATTTCTGGGCTCTGTATTCTGTTGCATTGGTCATGTGTCTGTTTTTGTCCTGCTATCATGCTTTCTTGTTAAGTGTAGCCTTGTAGTTTGTTTGGTGTTGAGTTATGCAATGACTCAACTGTTCTTCTTCTTCTTAGGATTGCCTTGAATATTCAGCCCCTCTTTTAATTCCATGTAAATTTTAGCATAGTTTTTTTTCCAATTCTGTGAAGAATGTCATTGGTAGTTTGATATAAATAGCATTGAATCTGTACATTTCTTTGGGCAGTATGGTCATTTTAACAATATTAATTCTTCCTATCCATGAGCATGGAATGTTTTTCCATTCATTTATCATCTCGGATTTCTTTCAGCAGTGTTTTGTCATTCTTTTTGTAGACACCTTTCACCTCCCTGTTTAGCGGTATTCCTAGGAATTTAATTTTTGTGTGTCTATTGTGAATGTGATGGCATTCTTGATATGGAACTGGGCTGGGGCATTGTTGGTATATAAATACACTACTGATTTTTGTGAATTGAGTTTCTAATCCTGAAACCTTCCTGAAGTTTTTCATCAAATCAAGGAGCTTTGGTGCAGAGACTGTGGAGTTTTTTAAGTATAAAACCATATCATCTGCAAACAGAGATAGTTTGACTTTGTCTCTTCCATTTGGATGCCTTTCATTTCTTTCTTGTCTGATTTCTCTGGCTAGGACTTTCAGCACTGAGTTGAATAAGAGTGTTGCGACTGGGCATCCTTGTCTTGTTTCAGTCTCAAGGAGAATGGTTCAAGCCTTTGCCCATTCAGGATGATGTTGGGTGTGGGTTTCTCATAGATGGCTTTTATTATTTTGAGGTATGTTCCTTCAATGCCTGCTTTGTTGTGGGTTTTTTTTTTTGTTTTTCGTTTTTTGTTTTTTTTTTTTTTTGAGATGTCGTCTCACTCTGTCACCCAGGCTGGAGTGCAATGGCTGATCTCAGCTCACTGCAACCTCCGCCTCCTGGGTTCAAGCGATTCTCCTGCCTCAGCCTCCCGAGTAGCTGGGACTACAGGCGCCTGCTACCACGCTCAGCTAATTTTTATACTTTTTTTAATAGATGGGGTTTCACCAAGTTGGCCAGGATGGTCTCAGTCTCCTGACCTTGTGATCTGCCCGCCTCGGCCTCCCAAAGTGCTGGGATTAGAGGTGTGAGCCACCGCACCAGGCCTGGGTTTTTTTTTCTTTTTTTAACACGAAGGGATGCTGAATTTTACTGAAAGCCTTTTCTGCATCTATTGAGATGATCATATGATTTTTGTTTTTCCTTCTGTTTAGGTACTGAATCACATTTATTGATTTGCGTATGTTTAACTAAACTTTCAAAGCCTACTTGATTGTGGTGAATTAGAAGTTTAATGAGCTGCTGAATTTGGTTTGCTGGTGTTTTGTTCAGGATTTTTGTGTATATGTTCATCAAGGATATTGTCCTGAGGATTTTCTGTGTGTGTGTGTGTGTGTGTGTGTGTGTGTGTGTGTGTGTGTGTGTCTGCCAGGTTTTGATATCAGAATAATGCTGGCCTCATAGAATGAGCTAGGGAGGAGCTCTTCCTCCTCAATTTTTTGGAATAGTTTCAGTAGGAATGGTACCAACTTGCTATACATTTGATAGAATTTGACTGTGACTCCATCTGGTACTGGGCTTTTTCTGGTTGGTAGGCTTTTTATTAATAATTCAATTTGGCACTCATTGTTGGTCTGTTCAGTGTTTCAATTTCTTCCTGTTTCCATACTGATAAGTGGGATGTTTCCACTAATTTATCGATTTCTTCTAGGTTTCCTAGTTTGTGTGCATAGAGGTGTTCGTAATAGTTTCTGAGGGTTTTTTTGTATTTCTGTAGGCTTGATGATAATGTTCCCGTTCACATTTCTGATTGTGTTTATTTGGATATTCTCTCTTTTTTTCTATATCAGTCGAGTTAGTGGTCTATCAGTCTTATCAATCTTATTATTCTTTTAAATAACCATCTTCTGTTTCATTGATCTCTTTTATGATTTTTTGCAACTGGATTTCATTTCACTCAGCTAAGATTTTGGTTATTTCTTGTCATCTGCAAGTTTTGGGGTTAGTTTGCTCTTGTTTTTTGTAATTCTTCAATGTGTGATGTTAGGTTGTTAATTTGAGATCTTTTTAACTTTTTGATGTAGATATTTAGCACTGTAAACTTCCCTCTTTACACTGCTTTAGCTGTGTCCCAGAGATTCTGGTATGTTGCATCTTTGCTTCTATTAGATCCAAGGAATTTCTTGATTTCTGCCTCAATTTTATTGTTAACTCAGAAGTCATTCAGGAGCAGGTTGTTCAATTTCCTTGTAATGATACAGTTTTGTGCAGTCTTCTTAGTATTTATTTCCATTTTATTGCACTGTGGTCTGAGCACATAGTTTGTATAATTTTGTGTTTTTTTCTGAATTTGCTGAGAAGGGTCATAGTCAACTGTGGTCAATTTTAGAGTATGTACCATGTGCAAATGAGAAGGATGTACATTCTGTTGTCTTTGAGTGGAGTTCTGTAAATTTATATTAGGTTCATTTGGTCAAGTGTGAGTTCAATTCCCAAATATCTGTGTTAGTTTTGTGCCTCAATGATCTTTCTAATAGTGCCAGTGGAGTGTTGAAGTCCCCCACTATGATTGTGCAGTTATCTAAGTCTCTTTGTGGGGCTCTAAGAACTTATAAATCTGAGTACTCTTGTTTTGGTTGCATATATACTTAGGATAATTAAGCCTTCTTGTTGAATTGAACCCTTTATCATTTTGTAATGTCCTTCTTTGTCTTTTGTGATCTTTGTTGGTTTAAATTCTTTTTTGTCTTTAATTAGAATAGCAATTCCTGCTTTTTGTTTGTTTGTTTTCTGTTTCCTTGGTAGATTTTCTCCTTCCCTTTACTTTGAGCCTATGGTTGTTATTACATGTGAGATGGATCCCTGGAAAATAGCATACAGTTTGGTCTTTCATCTTTATTTAACTTGCCACTCTATGCCTTTTAATTAGGGCATTTAGCCCATTTACATTCAAGGTTAATAATGATATGTGCAGATTCGATCCTGTCATTGTGTTGGTAGCTGGATATTATGCAGGCTTAATTGTGTAATTGCTTTATAGTGTCAATGGTCTGTGTACTTAAGTATGTTTTGGTGGTAGCCGGTAATGGTCTGTTTCCATATTTAGCACTCCCTAACTAACCTCTCCTAAGGCAAGTCTAGTAGTAATAAATTCTCTTAACATTTACTTGTCTGAATGGGATCTTAATTCTCTTTCACTAATGAAGTTTTTTTTTTTGGCTGGATGTGAAATTATTGGTTTCTTTTCTTTAAGAATGTTGAATATATGTCCTCAATTTTTTCTGGCTTGTAGGGTTTCTGATGAAATATCCACTGTTAGCCTGTGGGGTTCCCTTTGAATTGACCTGCCCCTTCTCCAGCTGCCTTTATTATTTTTGCTTTCATGTTGGCCTTGGAGAATCCATTGACTATGTGTCTTAATGATGGTTCTTGTATAATATCTCACAGGGGCTCTGTGCATTTCCTGAAATTGAATGTTGGCCTCTCTAGTGAAGTTGGTGAAATTTTCATGGACAATCTCCTCAGAAGTTTTCCTCAAAAGTTTCCAAATGGTTTGCTTTCTCCCCCTCTTTCAGCAATACCAATGAGCCAGAGCTTTGGTGTCTTTACATAATCTCACATTTCTCAGAGGTTTTGTTCATTCTTTTTTACTATTTTTTCTTTATTTTTGTCTGACTGAGTTAATTCAGAGAAACAGTCTTTGAGCTCTGAGATTCCTTCCTCAGCTTTCTGTATTCTGTTGTTAATACTTGTGATTGTATTATGAAATTCTTGTAGTGTGTTTGTCAGCTTTATCAGTTCAGTTTGCTTCTTGCTTAAAATGGCCATTTTGTCTTTCAGCTCCTCTATTGTTGACATTGGTTAGACTGGGTTTTGACATTCTCACTCAATAGCCTTCATTCCTGCCCATATTCTCAATTCTAGGTTTCTCATTTCAGCCATTACTGCCTGGTTTAAGAAACATTGCTGAGGAACAAGCATGGTTGTTTGGAGGTAAGAAGATCTGGCTTTTTGAGTTCCCAGAGTTCTTGTGCTAGTTCTGTCTTATCTGTGTGGGCTGATGTTCCTTCTATCTTTGAAGTTGCTGTCCTTTGGATGGGGATTTTTGCTTTTATCTTCTTTCAATCTTTGGTTGTTTAGTTGTGGTATAATGTGGACTCTGTTAACTGGTATGTTCTGAAAAATTTCAGAGGGCCAAGGCTCAACTCTGAGTTGCATGTTCTAGCTCTGGCGGACTGGCACGAGGTCCCCAGCTTTGTCCCCTGGACCCTTGAAGTTAAGAACCTGCTGCACTGGAGGGGCCAAGATGTTCCTGGTCCACTGGTCCCAATACTCCAGTGGGGATGCCAGCCAAAGCACTTCATAGAGAAGGAGGTGGCAACAGGGTCCATGTTAGCTTGCATGTGCCAGCAGCTATGGCAGCATGCACATGTGTTGACTGGGGTAAGGCATTGGAGGGAGCAGAGTGGTAGCGTCCATGTATGCATTCATGCCAATGGCAGTGCATCTAGTCAAATTAAATTCAAAACATTAATATCAAGACATCTCCAATAGCATATAACACAGAACAGTGACAACTGCCTATTTTCTTTCTCAGGATCTGCTAGGATTTTCTCTTGCTCCTCTCTTTCCTCACTCTGTAAGGAAATTATGATCTGGACAGGACTACAAGACAGGCTCACAGAGAAGTCTTGGTTCAAACACTGGCAGTAATGCTGGAGTAACAAATATTCATCATCTCTGGGTTAGGTGACAGCCTTGGTATGTACCCTCAGATCCATCAGTGGCTGATGTCATCTATGGACTAGCCTACCATGCTCCATCACCAGACACTGCCAATTTCTACCGATCTTATTATTTTTTAGATGTTCATTTGTTCTTAGGTTTTAGACAGTTTCATATGGAAAGCCTAAAACAAACCAAAGTGTTTGAGCATATTTCATTTGCCTTAGTTTTTGAATTTCAGATTGGTGAAACAAACCTGTTTTCCATAATTAATATTGAGAAAGGCATCCATATGTAAAACAACAAAATGAAGATCTATCTCAATACATAATTAAAAATAAATTATAATTTAATTGTAAACCTATGTGTTAAAAACAAAATTTGTAAGGGTTTTAGAGGGTAAATCTTAGTTGAATAATACGTCTTAGAAGAAAATCTTAACAACTTGATTTAGAGAATTACTCCTCCGTCAATGATCCCTCTAACAACAGACAAATACCATAGAGTACAAATAAAACATTGAAAATTCAACAATATTAAAATTGTTAATTTTAATATTAGTTAGTTTTAATATTAGTTAGTTTTAATAACTTTTGTTTATCATTAGACATTCATGAATGAGAATAAAATTAAACTACACAATCAGAATATATAGTTACACTTTACCTACCCATGTTCACACATAAAATGGCATATATTTATAATATTAAAAAATTATTTTATAAATAAAATATTTTTAGAAGACCTCTCAAAAAATTATAGTAAAAAACAAACAGTTTACAAAAGAGAAACATCCAAATTGCCTTTCAATTTATAGGCCTTGGGATCATAGATAATTGTGAATGCATATTAAAACTATAACTTCAAACCATCTCCACCTACCTGATTAGGAAGGGTCAAAATGTTTGTCAATTTCAAGGGATGACAATGGTATGGATTAACAAAACTCTTCATTTACTCCTAACAGAATTGTAAAATGCTGTGACAAAATTGTAAACATAACCTATGTGTTCATATGTGTGTGTGTATGTTATATTGAATTTGAGTTCCTTTACATACTAACACACATCTGTAAATATTTATGGTAACTTTTTTCTTTTTTTCTTTTTTTTTTTTTTTTTGAGACAGAGTCTTGCTCTATCTCCCAGGCTGGAGTGCAGTGGCAGGATCTCAGATCACTGCAACCTCTGCCTCCCGGGTTCAAGCAATTCTCCTGCTTCAGCCTTCCGAGTCTCCCAGGCTGGACTGCAGTGGTACGATTTCAGATCACTGCAACCTCTGCCTCCCAGGTTCAAGCAATTCTCCTTCCTCAGCCTTCCGAGTAGCGGGAATTACAGGCATATGCTACCACGCCTGGCTATTTTCTGTACTTTTCATAGAGATGGGTTTTCATCATGTTGGCCAGGCTGATCTCGAACTCCTGACCTCAGGTGATCTGCCAGCCTCCACTTCCCAAAGTGCTGGGATTACAGGCATGAACCACAGCACTTGGTCTATGGTAACATTATTTATATCAGCCCTAAGCTGGAAACAACACAAATACACATGAATAATTGAACGGCTGCATTTTGGTATATTCTTATATAGCAATATTTGCAGTAGAAATATATAATAAAGTACTATCATCAGTGAACACTTACAAATTTTTCTACATTCTGTATGACAAACTTTTTTAGATTTCAAAATGTAGTTGAACCTTAAACAACACTGGGCTTAGTGGTATTGACCCCTTGTGCCAAGAAAAAGCTATGTATCTTTTGACTCCCCAAAATCTTAACTACTAGTAGTCTATTGTTGACCTTATTGATAACATATTATTATATTAATATTATTATATATTAACATATTGACATATAATTAATGAATTATGAATTTTTAATTTAAAATTTATAATGTAAAAATAATATTTATATATTAATGTATAAGGGAAATATATATTAATATCAAATAACATATTCTTTATGTAATATTTATCATATGCTATTGTTTTACAATAAAGTTAACTAGAGAAAAGAAAATGTCATTAAAAAAATGTATTCGTTAAGTGAAAATGAATCATCATAAAGGTCTTCATCTTAGTCGTCTTTACATTGAATAGTCTGAGGAGATGGAAAAAGAAAAGGGATTGATTGGTCTTGCTGCCTATGGAATGGCAGAAATCAAAAAAGGTGGAGAAGGTAGATGGGAGGCAGGAGAGGCAGGAATGCTCTCCTTACTGAAACAAACCCATGTGTAAGTGGTACCATGTAGTTTTCATTTCAAAACTATGTTGTTCAATTGTCAACTGTGTGTGTATGTGTGTGTGGTCTGTGTGTAAAGTATTTTGTAATATTCATATGCACACATATATTCTACATATTGCATAAATTAATAAAATTTCTTATACACACAGAAATGTAACATATTCCTACATATATGATATTTAATATTAAGTATTTTAATTAAGATGAAGAGTAAAGGATATCTAGCAAAATGGTGAAGATTCTATCATCACTATTTATGTTTATATATTCATTTAAAAGTGTGCTCATTTTCTGCCTGTATTTAAAAAGAGAAATATTTTCTGTATAGTGCTAATCAACATTTACATTTCAACTTATTCAATTTAATATGCCATAAATTCTAGTTACAACTTAGAATTTTATCTGTATATTTAAAACTTCCTTTTCATGTAAGAGTTTTTAAAGACCATGGTATAACTCTTCAGTAGAATTTTAGACTCCATTTAATTTTTTTGAATTTTGTTCATTTCATCAGCCTGTATTTAGCAATAATGAATACCAATACCAGAAGATTGTCAGGATATTTGACCAACACACTTTTGTAAATATTTTTTAATGTATCTATCAAAAGTCACAGCTATGTCACAAAATGAATTTTTAATTGAACAAGGTAAATTCTATGTTTGCTACTATAACTGCTTCCTAATGAAAAAAAAATCACATAATACCTAAGTATTCTTTTCTATGAAATTTCAAAACTAATTATGTTTTAAATATATACGCTGAGTTATTGCTTATTAATTGCTGCCCCCCTCCGTCCACTCCACAATAGATTTCTCATAGTGTTAAAGTACCTGACAATTACTCCTAGAAAAAAGAATACCAAAAAAGGAAGTCCTTTGTAAACTGGAGTAAATTAACCCCTTCGAAGTTTCTTTAAACTAAAAAACGTACTTGTAATTTCTTATAAATTATCAAATGTAAGCAAACAGAACATTGCAGCCTTTTCTATGTTATGCAGAATGATCTCACCCTCCAGATCTTACAACACTATACACATTATGCCAGCCTAGTTTTACGAATGTAATTTTCATCATTCTGTAAAAGGAACAGATATTACCTATACTTTTTAAATGAGCCTTATTTAACTTGAGGTTTCACGCAACAATTTGTTTTAAAGATTAGGCCCAGCAGACACCTGAATTCCTGCAGAATCATAAATCAGAGTGTGTGTTACTGCTCCACATGAAGGGAAAGAGGATGACAAATAAAAGCAATGTTAATTGACCACAATGAGGCAAAAATGATAAGGTAATTGTAATGTTAAATAGACAGAATTTTTTTTAACAAGGTTTATAAATGTCAGTTTAAAACCACAGGGTAAAATCAATTCTTCTCTGTGATACTTTTAGTATATTAACATAATTCTCCTCTCCTGTCAAATTCACCCAATTTTGTTCTTCCAAAACCTATTTCTATTAAAATAAACCTCACAGCTCTCTGACGTATTATGTCTAATTTCCAGTAGACATTAATAATAGTTTTTGGGAACCCTTTGAAATGTATCTTTTGTTGTTGTAGTACATATTTTAAAGAGCAAAATACAGCTATGATTATTATATGCATACCATGTTAATCAAATACAACCATTTCTGCAACAACTATGTAATAGATAATAATTGACTAATAAAAATATGGTAATAATGTTGATGAAATAATAACCTGTCTGAAAAATTGTCCTTCTCTAAAACTTCCCTTTAGGTTTAAAAAATGTAGACAAACTGCCAAATCAGTTCCAATAATTTTATGTCATTGTAAATAATAGACTATAATTACATTCACTCATCTATTTCAACATATCCTATATTCACAAGCTTCCAAAATAAAATATTGTATTATAAATAGTTTTAAAGGGGAAGTATATGGCAGACTACATTGACAAATGAGGGTTGGTTTTGTTTTGTTTTGTTTTTTACCCAGCTACTGGAATTATTTAAATCAAATTAAAGACTGAGCATGATAATACAGTACGGAAATAAATACTCAAAGCACACTGTGTCAGGCTTTCATAAAGTATAGTAAATGTCATGTATAAAAGGTATACCAGTTATACTAGTAATACATTTGTAGAAGAACACCTGAAATATAAATATTGTAAATAATGATCATTATTCTGTTTTTAGCGGACTAAGTAAATCTACAATTACAATCATTTTAAAGAATAAGCCATGTGACTCTTGATATTCTTTACCCCCAAATTGCAATCTTTTCCCTTTCTGATGTGATCAACCAGCCAAGCCGTTTGCCATTGCTCATGACACAGACACAGACTCACACACACACACACACACACACACACACACACACCCATTTATCTTGTCACAAAAAGTGAATGACCAGGCTAACCACCAGATGTTCTTTACATCATGACAGGTTCTCTTCACTCTTGTCTTTTAGGCTTTTAGGTTTATCCTTGAACTGGTCTATAGATCATTTGACCTGCAGCAAAATACTAAGCCTACCCATTCATGAACCAAGTCTGATCTTGTTTCTCCATCATCTGTTCACAATGGAATGCCTCAGCTCCAATGCAGCTATAAATCTAAGTTAAGAGGGGCATCAGTAGTTGTCTGGGCTACCTGCTCCTACACCTTATTTTTATTTTCTGATTCTCCTCATAAGCAATCAAGGAAATAACACTTCCATTTTACAATGGATTAATGCTGGCTTCATTTAAACTTTAAATACAGTAAGTCTGATACTTCCAGTTCCTAATGGGCAGCTCTAGCCCCATGGTCACTTGATATTTTGTGCTCGATGGTTTGTCTCTACCAAGGCCCAACAGCATGCTCACTATTTATGGACTAAGTACAATACTCTATTTCACTACCTGGTGCCCATATGGTCCCTCTAAGGGTGGAGTAGTGGTGATGGAGCAGTGAAAAGGCTTTAATGTCAATTCACACTTTTATCCCAAACCCTTAGAGTTTTAGACCCCTGCCCCCTCCTGCCCCCTTCTTCTCTATTATTTAGTTATCTTTGCCAATGCAAAATGGTGAATTTGGGAAAGGACTGAGGAAGTCATTACCAGGTATATTTTCTGTGGGGATTTGGCCTCTTTTTCAGTCAACGGATATGGGGTCTAAAGACTGCTTCAGTAATGGAAACTGGGAAAGGAACATAATTTTTTCCTTGAGGCAATAAATCTCAGACTCTTGATCATTTATCCTTGACTTTTTGTTTTATTACTTTTATTTTGGCTTCAGAGGGTAAATTTACAGTTTTGTTACATGGGTACATTTTGATAATATATATTTAGCATTATCCCCAATCTTGGCTACCTATTTTATCCCCAGGCATGCCTTCTATTAATTTTTTGAACCTCTACTGCCACTTTAACCTTGCTGTGCATTGTAAAATTGTATGCACCATGTTTCTAATTGTTAAGCATCAATATCTGGCCTCTAATATGTCAGGATCCTATAATCCCCATTGGTATCAGATTCCCTGATTATTTAAATAATCACTTGCTGTTAGTTTCAGCCAATAATAACCTTCACAATTATGACCATGTGCTCTTCACCAACATATTACTTATTACTTTGTTTGGCAAATTTTGCTTAAGATAAACCCTGTGGTGCATAGCTGGGTTTCTACGTACCTATGACTTCAATGACTGCTGGT
Source organism: Homo sapiens (assembly GCF_000001405.40). Classification (NCBI taxonomy): domain Eukaryota; kingdom Metazoa; phylum Chordata; class Mammalia; order Primates; family Hominidae; genus Homo; species Homo sapiens. Next base: position 30,889,833 of record NC_000009.12, read on the forward strand.
ATAATGTAACATGTCTCCCTTAACAAGCCTAATCCTCTCTGCCTTTTATCCATCTTATACCATCTGCTATGGAAATTCTCACATTTCTATATCATTTAATGAAGCATATCCCGTTTTTCAAGCTTGCAAGAGCCAAACTAAAATCGCTCAGCATTATCTACTGGGTTGCTTGTCAAAGTGATCATTTGTACATCACAGGAGTATATTCTTATGGTGATAAACTCTCCCTTATCTAACATTATGTCCTGCTCTCTGTTGATTCCTGCCAGCACATATTGCCTAGGTTTTACACTATTTCAGGCTGTATTTCCTTCCCTTGCATAGGTAGCTCAGCATCTAAGAGCATGGCTGGGGTATGCTGTAAAATAACTCTGGTTATAGATCAAACAGCCAGGAAGAGAGATGGGGGTAGATCCTGGGGAAGTGTTTGTCTTGAAAGACAGATGCCTCTGCAACATTAGGCCCTAGACTTTAACAAGGAAGGGCCATTTCTATAAGCCCAGAGTCTTCAGGAGTACCTGGAAGTTTATTATTTTCTAATGTACAACACAGATGAAACCATCTCAAATACCACATCCTGTTCCTTTTCAATCAGTGCCCATTCCTTCTTAAAGCAGACCAACTAAATTTGGAAATTTAATCTTATCTGGTGTTCTGCTAGCCTTAACACTACCTCAGACAGATCCATAGCAAGATTTTGTTGGAGATGAAAAAAACAAGTAATGCTAAGAAAAACTACATAGAATTCCATCAGTCTCTCCTTGTATCACTCCCTTCTCCCCAGCCTATGCTTAATATCATCATTAGGATACAGAAGATAACATAGAAAATTCAGACCTCCTTCTTATCTCAAAGAGGACAAAAAGTATAAACAACGCCTCAACCTAAGACAGACAAATAATTCCCCAGAAATTTTGGAAAGAAAGTTACGGAGTCACAAACAACAAATCAAAATAGAATGAAAATAGTGTACAACCATCAATAAAGAAAACTGAAGAAAATATAACTCAGTAAACGAAATAGTACATTTAATGATTACTTCAGGCTATAAAATCTTAAAATGAATTAAACAAAACAAATTAATGACATAAGATTAAAAAACAACAGGATTAAATGAATTAAATGATAAGTACCTAGGAAAATAAACTGAGAGCCAAAAACAGTATCATTAAAGACACAAGTAATAAAGCAGAAACAGTAAAGAAATAAGTAGCCATTACTAAAAACCTAAGTGTGGGCATAAGGGAAAACTGCAAAAATTATGGTCTCACAAGACAAAGAAACTAAAATAATTAGAGATTCAAAATTCATTAAAGTTAATATCCTGCTAACTTGTTGTAGCATAAAATGAAGTTCGGATTTATAAGGTTTTAGGAAAATTCTTTAATTCCAGACAATGATAACTCACTACTATAAAATATAATATTTTGTAGCATGTAACAAGTTTTTAAAGTTACCAGCAGGGTAAATAGTCTGAGTCCTTTATAATATGCTAATTGACAATTTCATAAAAGTCCCCAAATGTAGATAAAGTGGGTCATGGGTTTAACTTGGGTGTGGCTGACTGAGAAATCAGCAGAGAAGAGCAGGAGACAACTTTAGATATCGATGGCAAAAAAGCAGAAGGGAAAAGACATAATCAGGGCTGTACTGCCTCTGGAGGCTCTGGGGAAGAATCCATTCCTTCCCTGTTTGTAGCTTTTGGTGGCTCCAGGTGCACTTTGGAGTTTCTTGGCTTGTGGTCACATGGCTCCAATATCTGCTTCATCTTCACGTTGCTTCTCTTCTGTGTGTTTGTGTGTCTTTACTTTTTATGTTTCTTCCAAGGATATTTATATTGGATTTAGGGTCCACCATATAATCCAGAATCCAGAATTACCTCATCTCAGAGCCCTGAAGTTAATGATATCTTTGAAGACCTATTAAAAAATAATAAAGTAGCATTCATTAGTCAGAGAGATTAGGATGTGAATATATCTTTTTAGGGGAAACCATTCAGTTCAGTACACTGGAGAAAATATTATTTAAATAAATCTCTACTGTTGTACACAAAATGTCAAAAATACTAATTGGGGCTTGCTCTGGGGAAAAAAAGTCCATGAAAGATGTATAAGTTACCATTTGCTATTTCTTTCTAATATATGTAGACTCTGCTGAAGTTTATGCACACTATTAATTGCATTTTAATACCTTCAGTTGGTTGTATTATTTTTCATTTTAATATTTTGTCCAAAATTTATAGTAGTTGCAGGTGGAAGGGTTTATTTGACAGGCGTTGTTCCTTCATTACATAAAGCCAAAAATCCCAAAATCCATTTAACTTGACTCTCTTGCTGTCCAAATATTAGTCTGTCTGAAAAGACTATCAGCAGCCCCTCGGAGCTTGCAACAAAAACAGAACCTCAGTGTCCATTCCAGGCTGACTGAAACAAAGTCTGCATTTTCACCAGATCACCAATTGATTCTTGGCATATTAAACTTTAATTGCTATTATTAACTAAAATATACTGTCTCCTTAGCACTTACACACACATACCCTATATAAGAGTCATTATGATTTTCCATATCTCTTAACAATAGGAAAATATCTATGTGTGTTTGTGCCAGGAAGAGTGAGAAAAATTTAGAATATTGGAAACAAAATTTGGGTCATACAGATTATATAGTGTTTGTTGTCAAAGAGTGATTTGAACTAATTACGTGTGTCCATCAACTTTTTAAATGTTCTCCTAATTATGTATCATTTTGAATGTTTTAAGATTTTTGTTACAAACATATTAAAGAAGCAAAATTAACTATTTTTTGTGATTTTTACTATTATTACTATTACTTTTACTATTATTGTATTACTAGTATTGTTAGTATTATACCATCATTACTTCTAGAATGTTTAATCTAGAAACAATCGTAGAATGACTTTATTGACTGTATTATATAGTTCATAAAGTAATATTGAACTTTAAAAATGCAACTGTGATTTTACTTCTATTTATCTTTAGAACTACATACTTGCATATATAAAGTTATATGCATATATTTCACTTGATACAGTGTAAAAATTGTATAACATCATGGTATATCAAGTCCTTCTCCAATTTATACTTTTTATTGTAATCTTTTCACTCAAAAATCAATAACCTTCTTGCTTACACTTGGTTTTGAAACAAAACATTATTGTGTGTCTTTTCCTTCTATCTTATTCCAGATTACAGATAAGATGAAAATTACTACTGCATGGCTCATGTCAAAACTCTATGACTCTGAGTTATTCGTAGCCAAATTATGTGTAAGGCTAGTCCCACTACAACCAAGTATGTGCTAAAATCTTAAGGTCTTCAGAAATTAAGATGAATGTTATGCCCTAAAGGAAATCAATTGCTGATTATTTAATTTGGGTAGCTCCTTTGCAGATTTATTATGGGCAGTGAAAAAACTAAAACTAGAATAATGGTACATTTAGGAATGAGCATCTGCTTAAGTAGAAATAGTTTGGGGAGGACAAAGAATATATAAATATATATCCCCTTTGTATCTTCACAAAACACATTTAATTATTTGATTTTAATTTTCATGTATCTATCTGTATATCTGTATCTGCACCTATAATTTATCTATCATCTATCTATCTATCTATCTATCTATCATCTATCTATCTATCTATATATCTATCTATGTATTTAGCTAGCTAGCTATCTGTCATTACTTTGGGGAGGGGTCATTACTCATGTTAAAAAATGTTTTTTGAAGAAAGTCTTTAACCCTTATTTTTCTAGAAGGGTGATTATCTTTAAAATAGAGAGGTAAATGTCAATGTGATTTATAAGATGTGTGAGAAAGTAATTACAACAGAGGTTAATTGACATTTATGGAATTGTACTGACATATATAAACTTTCAGAAAAGCCAGGGTATATTTTACCAAACACAGCCAACTCCCTTTCTATCTTTATTTACACTGCAGACAGAAGTCTATGCACATACTCACACAAATAGACACAAACATCATTTCATTTCTCAAAGTGTGAATATTGGTTTTGTTTTTATTGGTTTGGTAGTTTTACTGATTTTCATAATGAAATGTTATACTTATATATAAATAATAGAAATGATTCTTTCAAAGAGTGTTGAATAGTTTCTTTCTTGTAGCTTCTTTCATTCTACAGTTGCTGCTTCAGAATTCTTCTATTATCTTTAAGCTTCTCCAACAAACCCTTTTATGTTTCAAAATTTGATGAGGCACTGGTGCCTGGACATGGCTTACCTGCACACTAGATCTTATTTTTGCTTACTTTTTCTAGATTTCTTTCCTTTCAGTATTTATGGATTAAATAGTATGAAATTTGGTATTTACTTTAAAATAACAGCTGAGAGCAAGAGAGAGGAGGAAGCATAGGATATGATGATGAAACAAGATTAACCATATGTTGAAAACTTGAAACTAGGTTAGAGAAATATAGAAGTTTCTTATATTATACTTTATACTTGTATTTATAAGTGTATTTTAATAGAAAATTTAAAAATATCTACTTGGTAATCTGCATTCTCTTCTACATCTCCTACTGTCTTCTTCTTCCTGGATATATTCCTTTCTTCAGTCAACCCCATCTTATTCATAAATAATTTGTATATATTTTACTTACAAAATACATCCCAAATGTAATCACTTATTACTATCTTAACTGGAAAAATTCATCAAGGCTTCTCTTCTTAAATGGTAACATTAGCATTAAAATATTTTCTATTATTACCAATCTTAAAAAAATTGAGCATCCCAGTACTTAGTACTTAGTACTTATTCAAGATGCTCTTTTCTTTTCTGTCTATATTAGAAGTTGCTGATTTGGAATATATATATGTATATATATATGCACACACATATAATATTTTATATTATATACTATATATTTTATATTTTATACATTATATTATATTATAAAATTGTTTTGTGTGTGTATATATATATCCCTCCCCAAAGTAATGAGAGATATCTTGCTAGCTAAATACATAGATAGATAGATAGACAGATAGGTAGATAGATAGATAGATAAACTATAGGTATAGCTACAGATATACATGAAAATTCAAATCAAATATATATGCATATATATTACATATACACATATAAAAATATATATATATGTATGTATAGCTTGAGACTTGGTATTCAAATGGCTTATTTTCTTGTTTTTGCCACATGGATGACTTCCAAATTTGGAGTCTTATGTCATGAGTTGATTTCTTATTTTGCGCTTATAAAAACATACGTGCAAATTCTCTGCTACCAACTTCACTCCTGCCTATATTAGTAAATTGTACCATATTATTTCTCCTGTGTCAGTCAAGAAAGCTAAAAATTCATCGATTTGTTCCTTTCTGTCACTCTGCCCCATCCAATGCATAAGTCAATTGTATATATTTTACTTACGAAGTACATCCCAGTTTCTATTTTAACTGCCAATATTCTATTCTAAGATTTTTTATAAAATACCTAGATTATTTTTACAGTCTCTGAACTGGATGCTAGTCTTGGATCATACCTACGCTTCCAATTTATTTTCTTCACAGTTGACCTAAATTAGTTTTTGTTTGTTTGCTTGCTTGCTTAAATGTAAAATACAAAAGTTAAGTTATATCAATAATTACAATTCTTCAATGGCTTCTCATTGCACTTAGGATAAAATGCAAATTCCTTAATGATATCCTCAAGGTTTTGGATGCTCTGGTTCACAATTACCTCTGTGACTTTTGGCTCTCACTCATCTCTGTTAACAAACAAATTTGAGCCAATTAACTTTTGTTTGTTTTTATATCCTCAAATATGTCAACCTCTTCCTATTTCAGAACATTTTGCTTTACTGTTCCCAAATTCCTAGAAAAGTATTTCATTCTACTGTTTAAATGATTATATTTATATTAACCTTCTCATCTTAGTTTAAATGGTAACTTTTCAGAATTGTTTTGTCTATCTTATCTAAAATAATTCCCCTCATAAACGCTTTTTTACAAACACTGTTTCCTTAACTACACTGCAGTTTAAAATAGTTCACTCAACTCATTACTCGGTTTCCCATGCCTCCCTTTCTAAATTGTAACCTTTATGAGGCAGACATATTTTTATATAGTGCCTAGAACATTACCTAATGGCTTGTATCCCAGCACTTTGGGAGACCAAGACAGAATTATCACTTCATCCCAGGAGTTCAAGACCAGCATGGGCCAAAAAGTAAGTCCCTGTCTCTAAAAAATTAGAAAATAAAGAAATAAAGTAGTTGAGCATAGTGGTGCATGCCTGTAGTCCCAGCTACCCAGGAGGCTGAGGTGGGAGAATCAATTGAGCTGGTGAACAGAGCTGCAGTAAGCTATGATCACACCACTGCACTCCAGCCTGAGTGACAAAGTGAAACCCAGTCTCTGAAAAATAAAATAATAATTTATGTATAATTAATCTTTAATGTATTTGTTGAGAAAATGCCAAAAATCTTAGATTTCCGTTTCCAGGAAATAAAATTATTAGAGAACATTTCAATATTTATCTGGGTGGTAATCAATATGCAGTATAAGCTCATCTAAGGAATAAGCTTACATTTTCAAATATATATTTATATATATTGAAATTTATATTTAAATATTTAAATTAAATAAATGTATTTGAATATTTAAATTAAATAAATATATAAATATATAAATACATAAATATATAAATATATAAATACACAAATATTTATATACAAATATATAAATACATAAATATATAAATGTTTATAGATAAATACTTAAATATATAAATGTTTATTTATACATAAATACATATATAAATGTTTATTTATACATAAATACATAAATATATAAATGTTTATATAGAAATAAACATTTATATATTTATGTAAATAAATATAAATATATTTTTCTTTATAAAAACAGAAACTATTTTTAAAAATGTACTTGCAAATTTTATATTAAGATAAAATGATCACTTTAATCAGCTGCACTAATAGGTTCTTTAGGAGTAAAGAGGAATTTTTTAAAATCAAATTTCTGGCATTTACATCGGAAAGTGGTTTAAGTTTTTTTTTTTTGATATGGTGGCTTGTGTTATCCAGAAAGGTAGAATGGATGTGAACACTACCGTTACCTATAGAACTTTATAGTTCACAAATTGATTTTTACACACATTAACTATTATATTTCATAATATAAGACATTATATAATATAACATATTATATATTACATATTATAATAATGTGTATAATATATCATAATATAACATATATTTATAGATAATTAACATAATTATAATTATAACATATTATAACATTATATTATATAGCATATGTTATATAATATATAATATAATATAAAATATTATGTTTTATAATATAAAATAATAAAAAAATTTTTTTTTCTTATGGATCAAGAATTTCACTTTGAAAGAGTTTTAATGACTTGACCATGTTCACAGAATTGGTACATAATAGAGACATGTCACGAGTAAATGTGAATGCCTTAAAAATGGGCAAAAGATTACTAGTAGTCCTTTTAATAAGGTGTTGGGTTTTTTCAAGCATTTTTTTTTACTTAACCTAATTCTATAAAATCTACAATGCTCATTCTCCTTGACTACAACTCTACAAGCTGTAGGACACCAAAGATAATGCACACTTTTGTTGTCCATAGAAATGCAAATGACAGGTAGAAATAGAATTGTTTTCTACCCACTTGAAAAGTCAATTTCAAAAATTGTGTTTTACACCCTTATAGATCTTAAATATTTTGCATCTGTTGGCAAATGCATTTGGCATTCCTGATTGTCTATATATGTGTTTGCTCTTCAGACTCTCCTTTCAACAGACTATGACATTTTCTTAGTTTCCTCACTAATTTATGTGTTACGTAGAAGATTTCATAGGTAATAATAATAAAAATGTCATACATTTACCTTTTTAAAAATTACCCCTAGGAGACAGCACACAAATTCTAAGTGTCTGACTAGTGATTTTTTTTTTGCTTTTCCCATTCATACCATAGTTACTTGTCAGTGTGAGTTGTTTTTATTAGGGATTCTGCCTAAATATAGGGAACTTCATTTGGAAAGGATTCAATACGGCAGGAGAGAGAACAGAGAACAATCCTTTTGATGCCTGCCAAACATGTTTTGTTTAAATTCCCCTTTGTGTATGAATAATTCCTGATATTCCTTACACTCAGCTAATCATACTTTGTCAGAATCTTTTGGGAACTGTTATAGGTAGACAGACAGGCATGAGTGGGACAGGTGAGGGCTCTCCCCCTTCCCACTAGAAATGTCTAGTGATAGTTTGGCAGTTATCGTATTGCTTCTCTAAAAATGATAATTGGGCAGCCAGAAGAGATAATCTCCTGATGATACACATCTCTTAACATAAAAAATGTTAACTGAATGCAGACCCCAGAGAGAAGCAGCTTCCTGGGCACTCACATTAAGAGACAAAAATGGCAAAGTATGATCTTCCGGGTACACTCCACTGGAAAAAAAGGAAGAAAGCCTCAGATGAGCATGCATGTAACTCCCTAAACACACTGAGTGTGCTCAATCCCCAAGGGTAAGGAAGGCACTGCACATGAGAAAGCCCACCTTAAGGGAAGAATCATAGGAAAGTGGAGAGCCTATGAAGTCCCAGGATCAAGGTTAAACGTAGCTTTGTCTCTCTCTTTGACCTTCAGGTACCCACTTGGATCTTTTTCAAGCACACATTCCTTTCTTTCCTGTTCTAAAGCCTTTTTAATAAACTTCCATTCCTGCTCTGAAACTTGCCTCCGTCTCTTTTTCTGCTTTATGCCTCTCAGTCAAATTCTTCTGAGGAGACAAGGAATGAAGTTGCTACGGACCCTTACGGATACGCTGCTGGTACCTCAGGGTGATCCGGATCTCTTCCACCACTAACAGGAACCAAGTGCTTTTATAGTGTGAATGTCACAGATTTAAAATGTATCGCCAGCATTGACAATTATCTGACTAGCGTCTAGAATTGATCATGAAATACGGCATGCCTTATCAAGCAGCTTTTAAGAATGTAGCCCTTGGGACTCCAAACAAGAAGTAAAATTCTTTAAGATTTAGTCACTTTAAGATTTAGTCACACCTTTGGAGAGAGAGGCTATCTACAGCTTGGTGCAAAAGTAATTGCAAAAAAAGTAATTTCCACCAAACCTAAATAGTTATGACTGAGACTAATCCCATTTTGATGACACAGGACTTCCCCATGTCTTTAAAAAGCTCATTCATTTGTGATTTGGAGTATTTATGTATTACCCATTCAAGTTCATTAAAGACCTTCCAGATTCTTTAGATCCTAGTCGCATCAATGATGCTTGCTGCTTGGAAATCCACTTAGAAGCAATGCATCACTGTTCCCGTGGACAAAGCCTACCATCACAAGAAGGATGTAGTAGCAAACACCAGTTTTCTGAATTACCCTAACTGCAGGATAACAGAAGTAGCTTTTTGTTGTTGTTGTTGTTGTTTTCTTGAAACATGATCTTGCTCTGTCGCCCAGGCTGGAGTGCAGTGGCACGATCTCAACTCACTGCAACTTCCACCCACTGGCTCAAGGGACCCTCCCACCTCAGCCCCCTGAGTAGCTGGGACTATAGGTGCATGCCACCATGCCCTGCTAATTTTTGTATTTTTTGTACAGGCAGGGTTTCACTATGTTGCCCAGGCTGATCTTGAACTCCTGGGCCCAAGAAATGAGACAACCTCAGCCTCCCAAAGTGCTGGGATTACATGCAAAAGCCATGGCACCTGGACATGAAGAGTCTTTTTTTCACTGTGATTTTTACTAGACTTAAACTGTGCTGATTTCCATTACTAAGGGGATAGAATAAGCTTCTCTTCTGTTCTGTGTTGCATTTTGTCACTTGAATATCCGAGTGGGCCAGTCAAATCTGTGATTTTAAAATAACTCATGTAGGAGCTAATAAAATTGCTTTTTTATAAGGGATTGAGAGGAAGACTACTGAGGGATTGCCATTATAAGATTCAAATAATATATGCCCACCATTCTATTGTTGCCCTGTCCATTCTCCCTACCTCACCCTTATCCTTCACTTGACAAACCTTATGCTCACTATGCACCCTTTTCCTAATCAGATCAACCCACGCAGATGTGCATGAATGATTTGATGCTCAGGAAGGCCTCATATTCTTCATAAGTATTCATGGTCATTTCCTAAGGAGCTTTGCTGAAACGGTTTCCTATGGTGCCATAACAAATTACCACACACTGGTGATTTAAAATAACCCAAATTTATTTATTTTCTCCTATTTCTAGAAGCCAGAAGCAAAAACAAACTAAAGTATTGACAGGACCAGGCTCCCTTTGGAGGCTCTACCATAAAATCTGTTTCGTTACCTTTTCCATCTTCTAGAGTTGCATTATTTGCATGCCTTTGCCCATGGTTCATTTCTTCATCTTCAAAGCCAGCAACATAGTTTCCATTATCTCCTCTCCCTTTGTGTCATATTCATATTTTTCTTTCTTAATTATATCTGCAAATTTACTTTTGCCATATAAGGTAACAGTCACAGGACCCAGGTATTAGTACCCGGATATCTTTGGAGTTCATTTTACTTGCTTACCTTTCACTACTGTCATTGTTGCTGCCAAATCATCAGACAACAAATTATCAAACCCTTGTCAGTGCTTTCATGCAAACACATCCAGAGGGGATTAAATGTAAAGTTAAGGAAGTGAAAATTAACAGCAAAAACTAATAAAATGGAAGTATCACATACTACCAACAATATATTAATTAAAAATTATGCTAAACAAATATAATATTTTTCATTTCTCAATAAAGAGAACACAATATGTCAAAATGAAAAAAAAATTTTAATTGCTAAAAAATAAGATGTCAATCAATATTTCAAAAGAACAAGCAGAAATTTACAATATTTTCAGAATGCCGGGGGAAAAATATGTGAATCAGAAATAGCAGATAATGAACAAAAGTTTGACACATTACACACAAAGCAAAATTGACCATGGTCCCAGAAATAACTGCTGAGAAAAATAGAAGTTCATATGCAAAGTTACATAAGAGCTGAGAAATGAATTCAGTGAAAACAACAGATGAAGATATGTTAGCACAATGCTTATTTAAAAAAAAACTTTATCTGGAGACTTATTCAGAAATAGAAGGATATAAAAGAGATTACATAAACTTATATAGACTTTAAACTTTCACAAAACATTGAATTGAATCTTCCAGTATTTCTATTAAATAGGAAAATATTTTCTCTAGAATTCTTGGCAGAACCACTAAACCTCATGTTAAAAGCATTTGCTAATATTTACGGAAGGTTAGCAAAAGACTGTTGAAGCAACTAAATCTTAAAACTTTCACATTATATATTAAAATATGATATTTCATTGCAATTTGTATTTATACATTAACCTGTTTTGAGACTTGCTATAACAAAATACCACCAGCTGGGTAGCTTAAGCATTAGAAATTCACTGTCTCAAAGTTCCAGAGGCTGGGGGTCTAAAATCAAGGTATCAGCAGGGTTGGTTCCTTCTAAGGACAATGAGAGGAAATTTTTGCCACGTGTCTCCCTTAGCTTCCAGGAGCCTCAGGCATTCCTTGGTATGTGAATAATATGCTTCCCGTGTCTTAACATCTTATTCGCTCTATTCATGTCTGCCTCTGTATCCAAAATTCTTTTTTTTACATTGTTGTGAGGTTTTCTAATGACCTCATTTTAACTTAATCATCTTCAAGGACCTTATTTCCAAATAAGGTCAAATGTACAAGTATAGGGTAAAGGACTCCAACATCTTTGTTGGACACAATTCATTTATTCATTTGTTTGGACATCAGCCAGTTTTCACTAACAGAGAAGTCATCAAAGCCGAGATTTTGATAAAAATTACGGAGGAAAATATTAAAACTGAGAAAAAATGTTTTCAGTCCTTTCTCCCAAGAATTGGGATAGGACCAAGATTAATCTATTCTAAGCAGTGAGATAAAACAGTCTAGCTTATTAAAAATATAAATTTTAAAGCAATTTTATTTTGACGGAATGATGTTTTTTAAGCTAGAATGCATTAAGATGGATTTCAAGTGTTAATGATAAACAAAGCCACAAACTAAACTACAAAGGTTTATCTATGCACATAGACTCATATATACATGATTTGATTAAGACACATTTTCTTTTCATTATTTCACAAATTTCACTTGAGAAAAGGGGTAAAAATTCTAATCCAGTTTTTAAGACTTTTTAACCAAAACTTTTCTCTAACATTTTTATGGATGTTAAACATTTTTGTTTAAATAATATTTTAAAAATTATTGTGATAATGCTGGAGATTTCTTTTGTATTTTACAGTTTCCCCTGCTGTACAATTCTCCTCAATCTCTCTTCATATTATGCCTCCCAAATCAGCTACCTTCCCTACCTTCAATTGAGAATCCAATTGTCTGACCCCAGTGTAGCTCTCAGGTCACTCTTATGGACTCAATAGTTTGTGCTTTCCTACATTATCAGACAACCTCAATATCTTATTTCTTAGAGATTATAAGTTTATACTATTCAAGCCACTGACTTTTTGAAAATCAAAATTTGCAATTATTTCCCGAGGTCCCATAAATAGGGCAAAAACTTCACATTTTCTTTCTCAGGCTCTAGGCTCTATACAACACTTTGCCATTTGGTCATGAATTGATTCTTTTAATATTTAACTGATGTTTACTTGGTGCATATTGTTGGTTATGTATTGTTCCAGTTGGTTCTATTTCTTGCTTCCAGAGAGATAATTGAAACATAAGCACATTCAAATCCCAGGATTGCAACACCAGACCTGCTCAATTTTGATAGCTAGGGTGCAGTTCGCTTTTGGGGGTGATCACCTACATTTACAGGTGAGCTTGTATAATCCACTGCTCTATTCTAAATCAAAGCAGGAAGGCATATTCTGCATTAAAGCAGAGCAATGGATTTTAAGAGCTCACTTTTAAGTGGTGGCAATTTTAGACAGGAAGACATAAATTCAAGGACTATAAGTTATTGAATAGGCCACACTTGTGCAACAACACAGCAACCATACAGATAGATATCAATGATACATATACTGTGTTAGATCTGGGGAAATGTCCTGCAACTAGCAGGTCCGAGCACTGGATTGGGTGCTATTAACCATTTCATGCTGTTTAGATATTCCTGAACAAAAGATCATGATTTCATCATCTTTTTCATAATGGCCTTTATAGGACACAACAAAAATAAATGCTTAGAAATCCTACCCCAGGAAAGTATGATCAATAAAAGATATTCAATCCTCTATAATTTTAAAGATCATGAATCCTTTGGTGTACAAATTTTTGAGTAACTAATGTAAGATCATCTCAGGGCTAAATAAAGGAGACAGAGTGTCCAAACTAAGTTACTTGTGGTGAAAGAGTCCTCACAAAGGCAGGCAGTGTGTCAGCATAACTGAAATAAATAAAATCCTTTAGGTTTTTCTTGTGAATTATCTGTAATTTAATTTTTAAAATTTATTCTATGTGTGCGCTTACCATGAAAAGTGCTCATCACTTTGTTAGCACTTGCTATTATTGCATATAAAATGAGTGGCTATAATATTATATAATAATTGATATTGGCTACTGTATTAGTTGGGGTTCGCAGAGAAATAGAATCATTAGGATGTGTGTGTGTGTGTGTGTGTGTGTGTGTGTGTATGCACATGCACATACATGTGTGTGTATGTAGAGAATTTTTTTTTAGGGGATTGGCTCACAAGATTGTGGAGGTTGGCAAGTCTCAAATCTGCATTGCAGTCCTCCAGGCTGGAGCCCCAGAGAAGTGATGATATTGCAGCTGAGGTCCTAAGGCAGACTGGAGGCAAAATTTCTTCTTGGCATACTCAATCTTTTTTTCTTAAGACCTTCAACTGATTATATGAGGCCCACATACATTTTGGTGGGTAGTTTGCTTTACCAAAAGTCTACTGAGTTAAATCTTAATCAAATTTAAACAATATCTTTATAGCAACATCTTGACTGATACTTGACAGAACATCGGGGCACCACCATTATAATCTAGTCAAATTGACACATAGAAGTAACCATCACAGCTGCTTATTATGTTTCTATAGGGTAACTATAAGGTACCTATTTGTTCTATAGGGTACCAGTTCTATCTTATTTATGCTTTTTGTTCATAATAATATCATTATACCTAGAAAATAAAAAAATCATATAAAAGCTGATGCATAAGTGTGTGTTAAAACCTAATTATTTGGTGTTTCCAGTTTTTAGAATTTTCCTGCTGGCAAAAATTTATCTGTAGACCCCGGATCAATACTTACAAGGCTTTCTCAGTCATTCATAGACATGTATAGAGTGGCAGAAAATTTGAGTCACCCTGACATACACATTTCCAGTTGAAGTCTAGTAAGGCAATCTTCTGCCTTCTTGTTTCAATCCTCATCCTGTAAACAAGTGTCTTTTTCAAAGTCTATCTAGTACCACATTTTTTACATTTTTGTACTCTTATAGTGTTTCTTTTTAAAATGACCCTCAAGTGTAGTGCTGAAGTGCTGGCTAATATTTTCATGATCAACAAGGCTATGATGTGCCTTACAGAAAAAATACGTGTGTTAGAAACACTTGATCAGGCATAAATTATGTTGTTGACTCTGAGTCCACTGCTCTTGAGTCAACTATGTGTATATATGTATATGCATATGCATATATCCACACACACATACACACACACACATATACATGTACATTCAATAATATGTCTTTAAACAGAAACACATATAAAATAAGGCTATGTGTTAATCAGCTGATGAAAATGTTGTGACCAGAGTCTTGTAGGAATCTAATCCTGTATTTTCCCTGGGAGTAATGCTTTACTATTCACCAATTTGGTGTTCATGGTGACTTTATAAAACCTAACTACTATGAATAAAGAGAATAGCCTATAGAAATTCATTTTCTAATTGCATTAATGTTATCTATGTGTGCTTAACGTGTATCATTGTGAGTTTCAGAAACAATTTACTCCACGTACACTGTGGAAAAAAAATAAGTGGGTAGCATACATCCAAGGTTTATAGGTGAAGTGTTTCCGCAGAGGATTCCAAAAGGACATTTATGACAGAATTAGCTTATCTCAATGTCACGAGTATGTAAGACATTAATGAAAGATTTTTAATATATTCAAATTTTTGACTTAGAATTTTAGTTAGATGTTGAGGGAGCATCGTGTCACCTTCCACCACTCCCAGGCAAATTGAGTAATGTTATAGAGAAACCAATATGAAATTTGACACATCTTTGGGAATTTGGAAGATGTAGAGATGGTACCTGGAATGAAAGTCTGAGAGTTACAGGCTTTGACTAGAGTGATCTGTGATAGCAGAACAGGGTGAGTGAGGCCTGTTTGGAAGAGACCAAGCACTTTCACTAACTATACAGTGAACCAGCCATGAGTTATTATAAACCATCCTGCCCTAGAGAGTTTCATACTGAGGGGAATTAAGGGGAACTTATGGTCACTATTGATTAATGCACCATGGGCATGAAGGAACCATAGGTGGAGGCCATCATCAAGGACCTCTTCAAAAAACATACACAAAGTTCCTCATTATAGAAAAAAATATTCATTTGAGCATACATGACACAGGGCACTGATTTTCAGGATGCAACTGTAAGACCTTTATGCTCCCTTCCTCTTTCTTCAGGAAGAACTTAGTATGTTTCAACTATCTATTAATAGTGTGTAACAAATAACCTCCAGACTGACTGGCTTAAATCAGCAACTACTTACTATTTCTATGATTCTGTGAGTGTTAGAGGCTCAGCTGAAAGGCATTTACTGATATCACCTGGGGTCAATCAAGGGGTTGCCGTCAGATGAAAACTCAAGTAGAAAGCTAAGATGCCTTCTTCCTTCTCATGCCTGCTGCCTCAGTGCTTCACCATTTGGTCTCTTTATCCATGTATTGTTTCTGTCCAGTAGTGTGAACTTCTTACATGACAGCTCAAAGCACCAAGAACGCAAAGTAGGAAGGCACTGGTCCTTCTTAAGGCTGAGGTCTGGAACTGACAGTGTCACTTCTGCCATATTATATTGGTTAATTCAAGTTCCAAGACTAATCCCACATTTATGGAAAGGAAAACAATTTCTACTTCTTGATGTGGGAAGCAGAATGTGTGTATAGGGAGGAGAGGGAAAGTTGGGGGCATTTTTGAAGACACACTATTATGCAAAGTTTCTTTAGCGAATGGAAATAAAAAATAGGTTAATAAGAAGAAAAACTAGTAAAAAATGTGAACATCTAAACAACATCAAACACACAAAAACACATACACTCACACAATTACATGCATTCACCCATCACCAAAGCACATTCCCTAGTGTGAGGTATGCCAGAGATGGGAGAAATTTTATATAAGTGAGAAAGTCGAGCATTGATATTAAGTAAATTGAAGAATTATAATGCACAGAAAATATAGATTGCTAATAATCCAGAAACCTAACGCAAAATTTAAGGTATCTATATTTATATTAATCATAGGTAAGGAATACAATTTTTAAGAAGTTTTAAGTCAGAATTCTGGATATTTAAAACTATTGTAAATTCACCCTTTCTAATGGCAGGTAATTCAATAAACCAATTCATTATAAATACTTAAAGTTTTCATTGCCTCAATCTCAGGACCCTTCATAGAGAAAACCAAATATATTTCTCATTAATTTTCTAAACATGTCATTCCCTTTGATGACATATATCTCCATACTAACCTAAGCCTCCACACAGCATAGTCTCATTGCTTATTTTTTTCTTTTTAAGACTTTATTTGCTACTATTTTTTATTTTTCCTTCTATAGTCAGCAAATGTTTTATTACCTCCTTGAGATCCCTCACATTTTTCTGATTTTCAATATGACAAATATATAGGTATGTTTCATCCATAAGTACATTCTTCTCTATTGGACTAACCTAAGTTAGCCCTGCATGCTTAATTAGAGAATAAATTTTAGGGTTTTAAATCTCAAGTTTTCCAACCTTAAATGAAATAGATTTGAGCACATACTCAGGATTTCATATTTATTCAATGATTGATATTTTGAACCACAACTCAAAATCATTGTAAAGAATATGCAATAAGGGAATACTTTGGCAACTTTTGAAAGTATTATTTGAGTGGCTGTACTCTGAGCTTTTCACAATTTCAATGCCTGTAGAGAATTTACTTGAAAAAAACGAAATGATGAAAACTTCGATATATTAGTGGGCTGAATTTTTAAGCTGTATATTTTTTAGCAACACAAATTACCTAGAGGAATTCTAAATCCTCCAAAGCACATTGGCAATATTTCCCAGATCTGGAATTATGCTTGCATTATTAATACATTCACGTAATTTATATGTTTTTATGAATATTTCTGTATGTGTTTTATAGCCTCAGGAAATGCACAAATAATAAGATGAAGTAAATTAAAATTAAGGCATTAATGATGTCAAAATAAATGTTCTCTCGACAAAATATGGTTATATATGTAAACTTTGTGGAGATATAGCAAGTATTTGAAAAGCAAATAAAATTCTTACAAATTTTTCTTCCTATGATAGAATAGTGTATGCCAATTGTAGAAATCTCTTAAAATGAGAGACTTCAAAGTAAGGGACTTTAATTCAGAATATAAACACATATTTGGTAGCAAATATTAAATAAATCAGTAAGCTTATTATTAATCCAGCCATTCATTCATCCATCCATCAGTCTATATCTTCATTCATTGATCTCTTCCTGGAAATATAAATACATAGGTTAGCCTCACTCTCTAAAGGTAATAGTTTGGTGCATAGTTGAGGCAATAATTTGTGCACACTCTTCTTCAAAAAAAAACATACACTATCCAGTTCTTGTGGTTTTATTTTTTTGTATTGCCTATCTGCATTTATCTTACATATATTTGTATTTTAATTTTGTAAAAACATGAATAAAAAGAGAGAGAACACTTATGCCTATGAATAGTTGGCACTGAACAAGAGTATGTTGAACGTAGAGGTGTATGTGGGTATGCTATTTATACTGTAATAAAGATATTATAATAACAGGAAAATAAGAAGGAATCTCCTTTGTGAAGAAATAGAGAACCACAAGAGGTAGGCTTAGAATTACCATTATCAAATTGAACACCCAATTTCCATAAATGAGACTAATTTGATCATCAGATGTATCTTATTCTGTAAGGCTTTATTCAAATTTCACAATGATACCAGAAAATTAGACAACAAATTTTAAAAATAAATTATTTTTGCACAAGGACAAAGTGTTTTGGTTTACTCTAATACCTCTGCTTATGAAAGATACTGGGACATAATGTATTACTGTATTTGTTGCATTCATTACTATTTTTAAAGAACAGTCTTAAAAGTGAGATCTCCAAACTGGATATGTTCATCTGGAAGCATTTCAATCAGTCTGTGTTCTGACAAAGAAATGCAGACCTGCCCGTTTTTACATGCAAAGGACCCAAAAGCTAGAACATGGGAATCCCATCTGAGTCTACAGATAAATGAATTGAAATGCAAGATATTAAATGATCATCTTAGAGATATTCAGTTAAATTTCACAACATTTTGTAACATGACAGTAGTGTATTAAAATGATAATGGTAAGATATTGCCAACAATATTTCATAAAACAGAAATGTGTGATCTGACAAATAAGACAATTCCTTAAAGTGAATAAATTGAATTTTCTAAATACTCCCTGCATAAGAAACCAGCCTTTGGTAACCACCATTTTAATTTCGACTTCCATGAGATCAACGTTTTAGCTCACACATATGAGTGAAGACATGTTATATTAATATTTGTCTTTCTGTGCCTGGCTTATTTAATGTAACATGATGACTTCCAGTTCCATCCATTTCGCTGAAAATTACAGAATTTTATTCTTTTTATGGCTAAATGATATTCCATTATGTATATTTATAACAGTTTTTTTAATCCATTCATCTGTTGATGGGTACTTAGGTTGATTCCATATTTTGGCTATTTTGAATAGTGCTGCAGTAAACATGGTAGCACAGATATCTATTACATATATCATTTTCTCTTATTTTGGATATACATCCACCAATGGAGATTGCTGGATCATATGGTCATTGGTTCTATTTTCAATTTTTTGAGAGGCCTCTATATGGTTTTACTGATTTACATTAGTAATGTAATAATACATAGGCTGTACTAATTCACATTACCACCAGCAGTGTATGAGCATTCCACTTTCAATGCATCTTGGCAGCATGGGTCATTTTTTGTCTCTTTTATTTTTACTGGCAGCAGATGATATCTTAAAGTTCTTTGATTTGCATTTATCTGATGATAAATAATGTTAAACACATTTTCATATATCTCTTGGCAATTTGTATGTCTTTTTCTTTTTGAGAAATGTCTATTCAGGTCCTTTTCCTATTTTTTAAGAGGAGGATATTTGTTTATTTGCTTTTGAGTTATTTGAGTTCCTTATATATTATGATTATTAATTTCTTTTCAGGTGGATAGTTTGCAAATATTTTCTCCCATTTTGTAGGTTTACTCTTCACTTTGTTGATTGTTTCCTTTGTTGTGCACAAGTTTTTTAGTTTGATGTGTAATATCATTTGTTAATTTTTGCTTTGGTTGCTGGTGCTTTTGAGGTCTTACTCAAAACACTTTTCCCTGGACCCATGTCTTGAAGCATTTTCCCAATGTTTTCCCCTGGTCGTTTTACAGTTTCAAGCCTGATATTTAAGTTTTTAATTCATTTTGAGTGGTATTTTTATATGGTGAGAGATAAGGATCTAGTTCCATTCTTCTGCATGTGGATATCCAGTTTTCCCAGCACCATTTATTGGAACGACTGTCATTTCCCCAATGTATGTTCTTGATCTGTTTGTCAAAATGGGTTAACTGTCAATATGTGGATTTATTTTTGTGTTTTATATTCTGTTCTATTGGTCTATGTGTCTGTTTTATACCAGTACCATGCTATTTTCTTTACTATAGCTTTGTAGTATATTTTGAAATCAGGTAGTGTGACACATTTAGCTTTGACTGTTGAATGCATATATGAAGTCATCTGAAAGTACATATTCCTGTATCAAGGAGACGAATAAGTAGAAAACTTATATTTATATATTTATTTCATCAAAACTACAAAAATTTCATTGCCTATTTCAGCTACCTCCTTGATAACTGCAGGGAATATATTTGTGAGCCAAAAAGACAAATTTGTCTTAGCATTGTACTGGTATAAAACAGACACATAGACCGAAATCAAGATGCCAGCAGATTTAGTGTCTGGTGAGAGCCTGTTCCTCATGGATGATGCCCTCTATGTGTTATCACATGGTAGAAGGGGAAAACAAACACTGTTGAATCTCTTTTATGAGAACACTGGTCTCATTCATCCCTTATAGCCTAATCACCTTGTAAAGGCCTCCATCCCTCAAAACTATTCTATTGGGAATTAGATTTCAACACATGAATTAAAGGGAAACAATCAGGCCATAGAAAGTGCCATCATAGCTCTTCTCAGGTAAGTTTTCCAAGACGAAACCAGGAAACCAGGATAAATAACAATAGAAGTGAAAGGGTCTTCAAAGAAGGTTTTTGGGACATAATACTTTAAGGACTCCAAGATTAAGTACACAAAATCAAATCACCAATGGAAATAATGGTAAATTTTATTGTGTGTATAGTGTTTTATCATTTTCCAAGGACTTTCTCTTATTTCATGTAACCTTCTTATTTCATGTAATCTCCACAAATACACTGTGAATTAGCTTGGGGTGGGGCTTTTGAGAAGTAATTATGTTATGAGGGTAGAACCCTGACAAATGCAATTAGTTCACTCTGAAAGAGACCCCTTGTCCCTCCTACTATGTCAGTACATGACAAAAATATTTTGGTCTATAAACCAGGAGGCTGGTTCTCATCAGATTTCTCCTGGGGCCTTGATTTGGACTTTCTAGCCTCCAGAACTGTCAGCAATAATTTTCCATTGTTTACAAACCACTCAGTTTATGGTATTTTATTGTAGAAGCCAGTAGGACTAAGGAGAAATCTGAGGTTTGAGAAAATTAAACTACTTATCTAAACAAGGCCCAGAAGTCTGACCTTCAAAACCAACCAAGACTTGTTCCTTTGTATCTCACATTGCCTCATCACCCAGAATCTTCCTTCTTTCATTCCCAAGGATGAATAGGGCAGGGTAGGGATGAGAGAAGTGTCTTAGGTTTTGATGTCTTTCCCGTGACCTTCTTCTCTGAGTTTTTTTTTTTTTTTTCCCAAGGGCAATTTAGTATAATAGACATTCAAGAATAATAAAACTATGGTTCACCTTTGGAAAGGGCCTTTGGGGAGAGGATAGCATAATTATCAATACATTCTTTATCTCCATTTCATTGCCTTTGTATTAATACTGAAACACAGGACAAGAATGAAGGCAGGGAACCAAATCTCCATCTCCCTTTTCTCAACACCTTCAGTTTTCATGAATAATATTCCTTTCTACTGTGACTTAGTGGATCTTTTCATCTTTCCCTGCTATTCATTTTTAAAGTAGATAAGATACTTTCTATTTTTTTTTTTCATCTTTAAAAAGTTCCAAGAAGGGTTTTGTGGATAAGGTCCTCAATGAGCTTTTAGTCAAAAATTCTCTGCTAAAAAGTGTGCGGAATATCAGACCAATATGTACATGTGTACTCCATATGATAACATTCTGCTTCTTCTTGGGCTCTAGCATCTGATCACAGCAATTCTCAGCATTGCTCTACAGGTCAGACAGAACACAAAGACATGATTCATGTCAGGGGACATCTGAGATGAGATGATAAATGTTGAGCGGATATGTTCGGAAACATTGTTCTCCTGAAGGAGCCCCTAAATCTTATAATCTGTCACCTGAATCTCTGTTTGAAATGTATTCTGAAGGCCTCTGCTAAACCAAAATAGGTGGTCCATGAGTTTCACATCTAATTAATAGTCCTTACTCTAGTATCTTCCCTGCCCAACCTATTCTTTGAGATTCTGTTCTACTCTATCCCAAGAGTTCTGTTCTTAGGTGTCTCCCTGGACCAATGTCATTGAGGAAGTAATTGAATGCGTATGTTTCACAAACATAAGCGATGCCTAATTTCTCTTTTGAGAGTGAGTCAATAAAGGAAGGTGCTCTGCCAAACACAGGAGGAAGATGAGTTCCATGTGAGCTCAGCATGGAGCACTGTATTAGGGTTCTCTAGAGGGACAGAACTAATAGGAGATACATATACTTATATACATGGGAGTTTATTATTAACTCACACTATCACAAGGTCCCATAATAGACCATCCACAAGCTGAAGAGCAAGGAAAGTGAGTCCGAGTCTCAAAACTGAAGAACTTGGAGTCCGATGTTTCAGGGCAGGAAGCATACTGCACACGAGAAAGATGTAGGCTGGGAAGCTAGGCCAGTCTAGCCTTTTGGTGTTTTTCTGCCTACTTTATATACTGGCCATTCTGGTAGCTGATTAGATGGTGCCCACCCAGATTAAGGGTGGGTCTGCCTTTCCCAGCCCACTGATTCAAATGTTAATTTCGTTTGGCAATACCCTCACAGACACACGCAGGACCAATACTTTGCATCCTTCAATCCAATCAAGTTGACACTCAGTATTAACCATCACAGACACTGATACTCCTTAGACAAAAGAGATGCTTCTCCCATATCTGAAGTGAAGTGCTGTTCATCACTGGGAACTGGAATCTGGGAAAGTGTGCTCCAGCCCAGAATTCTAGTCTCATAACCCAGAGCTCTGGAATATTCAGAATGGGTTTTTGAAGATGAAGAAAGGGACACAAAGAGGAAAATGTACTCTCAGCATTTCCTCTGACCACGTAGGCTATAAGAGCCCTTTACTCCACCCATATCCCATGCCTGTCAATCTCTCCATCCTGCCCATGCCTTTCTATTTTGTGAATCTATCCTATAATCCCACTGTCTATCTGTATTAATGTAAATGTATTTTTATTTTACTCCTAATGTAGATATAGCTGATTGCGCCATTACTCTTTGAGATCTTGGCTTGGACTCTACCACGTTCATGATCTTCGAAAGCCTGGATTTTTCTCAGGAATTTTTGAAAAGTCCTGTGGATTTATATCCAGAATCACCTCTCTGCCCTCTACTCCAGTTTCTCCATATTATCTTTTTGTCTTGCATACACTTAGGTCAGGGTATCTCAGTCTTGAGACTTGTGACATTTGGGGCCTGGAAATTAGTAATTGGGAATGGGAAGTGGTGTCCTGTGCATTGCAGGATGTTTAGCAGCATCCTTGGCCTCTATTTATTATATGACAGTAGCATTTCCCCTCCTCAAAAAAAAAAAAAAGAAAAAAAAAAGGTATCTGAAGATATTGCCAAATGTGCCCAGGAAGAGGGAGATGGATTCTTAGTTGAGAAATAGTGACTCTCTATTAAATGTTGGCAGCTCCCTAACCAATTTTCCTCTAATAGTCTGCTTTAACAAAAGAAGAATTCTTCAGACTTGCACCTTTTATTATTGAGATTACACAGCAGGCCACTTAGCAAGCAATTTAAAGAACCTCCTTTTTTTAAAATTCTTTTTCTCCCCTAATCCCTTTTGAGCTGCTCTGCCCTGAAGGCTGTCAGATGTTTCTCTCCTCCCATGAAGTGCCCCACCCTGCTGATAGCTGGCTCTTCTCTCCTAGGATGTCGCGGCGCTCACCACACATTTGATCTTCCTTTATCATGCACAGCAATTCAGCTCTCCCTTGTCCACACTGCAAACTCTCTCACTCAAGCCCACTCCAATTTAGTAGGAGATGATTTCTTTTTAACTTCTTTAAAAACAGTTGGGATTACATATAGCAAAACTTGGTTTTTTTGAATCATATCCATGACAATTCCCTTTCTGAAGGGTTTCCTTATTCACTTTTCTAAATTTTCACTCAATTCCCTATTGATCACTCATCAGTGTAAAAAAAATCATTTTTGTGGATGATGTGTATGAATGTGTATGTGTGTACATGTATATATATATTTGTGTGTATTTTTTCCCCATGCTAGCCAGGCATGTCACCAAATTATACTCCCAGCTTCATCTTTAAGATTATGAAATGCTAAATTTAAGCACTACGGTTCATTGTTTTCTTTTATCTTCCCACATTTCACTGCTGAGCCTAATGGGCTAGTCTTGGTCCACGACATATAATGCTTTCCTTGTCAATTTTCTCTGCATCACCAGCTTCTCTGTCTCACCCTCCACAAATTCTCTATCTCTGACACTGTCAGTTATGCATGCCTCAATTGTTGCCCTGATAGGCTCTAAACAGTCACAAGAATCTATATGCAAAAAAAATCAAAATTTTGAGCAAACATATACTCCAGAATTATAATTTGCTTGTGTGAAGAAGGGACCTTATAAATTGCCCTTTGACTAAATTTTCCCAAACCTCAATGACATTTAAAAGACAAACAAAGAAAAGAAAGGAAAAAGAAAAGCTGCCGTGGAAAAAATAAAGAGACTCCAGAGACAGGAAAGTCAAATATAACATGGAAGTCTACTTGATCATGTGGTGACTGGAAAAGCAGACCAAAAAGTCAACCAAAAACTTATAGGCATTACAGTGTAAATTGAAAAAGATTTAATACATACATATAAGAGATGAGATAACATTTTGTATAAATTTTAAATGTGTAGATTATGTATACACTGGTTATATATAAGGGACCATCTTTCTGTTTTTATAATACAGACACTAGTATTTAGAGATAAAGGACTTCTATATGTAAGTTATAAAATTACGTATTTATGTTGTGATAGAGAAAATGATAGCAAACTAGGGTGCACAAGGGAGAAAGGTTAAAAATTGGAAAATTTAGGTAATGAGTATATATGGGTATTCCTTACCATGTTTACAAATAAATTTTTCTTTTTACATTTTTATTGTTTAGAAACAGAGTCTTCCACTGTTGCCAAGTTCTCATGGAGTGGCAAGATCATAGCTCATTGTAACCTGGAACTCCTGGGCTCAAGTGATCCTCCTGCCTCAGCTTCTTGAATGGCTATGACTATAGGCAGGCAACACCATGCCTGGCTAATTTTTTAAATTTGTTTGTAGAGATGGGATCTCATGATGTTGCTCAGGCTGGTAGTTCTCAAGCTTTATGTCACTCTACAAATAAGAAAAACAAAGTCAACGATAAAAATAATACTAATAACTTTATTCAACTATAGGCAAAATATTTCATTAGCCATGTTTCTAAAGAAGGTATGTAAATGACCGATAAGCACAGGGGTAGATGCTCAATATTACTAATAATTAGAAAAGTGCCAATCAAAACAAAACCACAATTAATTATCACCCCACACACATTAGAATAGCTGCTTAAAAACAAACAAACAAAAATAGAAAATAACAATTATTGGCACGGATGTGGAAAACTTAGAAAATTAGGACCTTTGTGCATAGCTGGGAATGTAATGTGGTACATATTTCCTCTATAGAAAATAGTATGGCAGTTTCATAAAAAATTAGAAGTAGAATTATCATATGATGCAACAATTTCACATCTGAATATACACCCAAAAGAACTGAAAGCATGTTCTCAAATACATAGTTGTACTCATGTTTATAGCAGCATTATTAACATGAAACAAAATGTGGTAGCAACTCTCATGTCCATCAGCAGTTAACTGGCTAAGCAAAATGTGACATATGCAGTTAATGGAATATTATTCAGCCTTAAGAAAATGTTGACAGATGCTACAACATGGATAAACCTTGCAGACATTATGCTGAGTGATATAAGCCGAATACGTTATGATTCCACTTATGCGAAGTACTGAGAGTGGTAAAATTCATAGAGATAGAAAGTAGAATGGTGGTTGTCAGGGACTATAACAACCACTGCGTAGTTTTACAAGCTGAAAAGAGTTCTGGAGATGAGTGGTGGTGATGGCTGCACAATAATGTAAATGTACTTCATAGGGCTGAACTGTCCAGTTACAAATGGTGAAAGCAGCATATTTTATGTTATTAAATATGTGCATTTATCACAATTTAAAAAATCATAACCAATCAACTTTTTCTTTTCAAGAGGCACAGACCATATTTTAACTTTATTAAGTTTTCAAATATTCAAATATTTACAAAATCTTAGGAAAAAATAAGATGAATACCCATATACTCATCCCAATTTTAACAAGTATAATCATTTTTTTATTTTTAAAACATTACTATAATGAAGCAGTTCAGTTGAACAGTGTATTCTCCATATTTTGGAGACAGGGCTAAGTCCCCTTACTCAAAGTTCTACAACTGTAAAGCTCTAATCCTGTGACCTTCACCATCTGTGATAAGTTTAATTGTGTGTCCCCCGCAAAAAGATATGCAGAAATCCTAACTCTCATTGCCTCAGAAAGTGACCTTATGTTGAAATGAGTGTTTGAGATGAAATTACTTAAAATGTAGTCATCCTGATATAAGGTGGGCTCCTAATCTAATATGGCCACTGTCCTTACAGGAGGACAGATGAAGCCAGAGACAAAAGGAGTCCATGTGAAGATGGCAGCAAATATGGTAGTGAGGCTGCCACAAGCCTGAGACTCCAAGGAGTCAAAAGAGGCAGGAAAGGATTCTTTCCTTGAGGTTTCCAAGAGAATACCATCTGAGTGACTTTCTATTGTCTTACCCAATTTCTGGTAATTTGTTACAGCATCCCTAGGAAGCTAATACGCCATCTGAGAAACAGGCTATTCACATCTAATGTCCAAAATATTGGTGCCTGGCCCTTAGTGAGCTTTTGAGGTTTAGGGTTTCAGTTTGCTCTGTCGTCAGTTCTGTGGTGTGATTCAAATGAACTTCAACATAAAACACAAGGATGTCATCTGATGACAGGAATTTTCTTTCTATGCACAATAGTATATTTTCTCAGTCACCTAGTAACAGTAGAACTTTAAAATGCAAATGTGGTTAAAAACTTCAGATCTCTATATTATTAAGTTGCTGCAAAAGTAATTGTGGTTTTTGCTATTGCTTTCAATGGCAAAAATCACAATTATATTTGCAGCAAGTAATAAAATGTGTTACAATGTTGATAATAAAATTGACCTGTTCCAGACACATACCTACAATAAGAATGTGGAATTTCAGATCGACATTGTCCTGAAGCACGTATTTTATCTCCTTCCTCTTTTAAAATACGAACACATTTAATAACTAATAAGAATATGATGAGGGTGGTTAGTTATGCCTTGCTCTGTAGTAAGCTCTGAGGACTTATTCAAGTGAATCCCCTCCCCACGACATGCAAGGAAGTCATTTGACAAGAGCAATTTCAATACACAATAAAACATTCCTTCTATCACTTAGTAACTGTAGCAAGAAAAAAAAAGTAGTAACCAACTGCAATTGTAGTTAATACAATGAGAAAAATTAAAACAGACACATTTATTAGGGGTAACTAGAGTTTCACATACAGATATTGCCCACTAAATACAGATAAAAGATATACTTTGATGATTGACTTATTACCTAAATTATTTATTAAATTTCAGTCTTCATCCTTCATTAATAATAAATAAATAAATAAACAAATAAAAATAACATTTCTAAATTTTTCCACATTCCACCCAGCTGTGTTAAGGTCCATAATGTTCAGGGTATTCGTATAACGCTTTTAATCCAAATTCTGCAAACAAAAATGGCTTGACATTTATATTGTAATATGAGAAAAGAATGTAGTAGCTATGTTGGTCTGTCCCCAGAGACAGTTGCAATCTTTTCTAATCTAGAATATGATTTATTTCCTTGAAGCAGCTGTATTTTTTAATCTCCACCCATTATTCTTTGGGTTATTTCTACATGTCATTTTTGGTTGGGTTTGATTTTGTACAAAACTATAGTGTAGTCAAAGTATTATACGTAGCTAAGCTTATGCATACCTGTAAATTATATTTAAATAGTTTATGCAAAACAGAGGATATTTCATGTTGAGCAGATACAAAAGGTATAATAGTTATACAGATGTGGGTGGAAAACAGACAGCTTATGATAAATAATATTCCATTATTATAGAAATTTACTACAGAAAATGTGTTTACTATAAACTTCTATACTATATAAGCCTCAAAAACATAATAATAACAGCTATTATTGCTATAAGAAGTGTCAAAACTTCTCTTTTCGGGTGTGAAAAGATATTCTGAGAATTTAAAAAACTAATATTTTTCTTGCTAGTATTTTTATAATAAGGAATAAGTTTCTGGATGTGTTTTTAAAGGATATAAACAAGTAGTCTGTCTCAACATTGCCATGCACAATTACAAAAACGAAAACCATTCATGTAGGAAAAATATAATTAAAAATAACTAAATGTCTTACTCTGGTAATTAAAAGGAGTAAACATTGGAAACAGAAAAGCATGTGACCTCTTCCCCTAAAAATGTGACATTGTACACCGAACCATTACAGTTATAAGGATGAGATTGTTGCTAAGCAACAAGTCTCCTATAATCTTGTGAGGCTTTTGTATCTGAGGAAAATTGAGGCAAAGGAAAATTTGGAAAGCTAATGAGGAAGAAATGGCTTCAGTACAAATCGATCAATAGTGCACCTGACCAGAAAATCAACTATTAATGGGACTAGAGGAAAAAAAGCTACTCAGAGTTACTTGGGAGCAAATTTATTATCACCAGGTGTGTTTAATTGTCTATACACTAATTCCCTGTTATCATTTTGTCTTTTTGTGTGTGCAGCAATATTTTCTTATGTGGAAGTTCAATAATATGTAGCAACATTTGTACTCAGTGGGCTTAACAATAACCCCAAACAATGTTTTGATCATTTCATGTGCTATACCATTTAAGAATTCAGTAAGCTATAATTGGCCTACTGTCATGCTACGGTTTTATAAGTGGCAATAAAGCATGGTTTGAATTGACCTCTACTGCCTACAAAAATGTAGTCATGTCACTGACATTACAGTAAATCAAAGTTGGAGACTGTTTCTCATATAAGGAGTTCAGAGTCTGGCGTCAGGATAGGGATAGCGATCAATAACAGAAAGTTATAGGCAAATTCTATGGTGAACTTTAGTTATCTGTGATGAATAAAAGCGGTACAGCCAAATCTGAGTGTTCAAGTGTTTAAGCAGCTGCAGGCAGACACTCTAGACAAGTACAAGCATTTGTACTTGCT